>NC_000003.12:125372240-125523755 GCF_000001405.40 Homo sapiens
TTTTTAGTCTAATTGTCAATGTTCTTTCTACTTCAGGAAAGCCATACCTAGGCTAAATCCCTAAAATACAATGGGGAAATCAAGAGATACAGCCTAAGATTGTTGGATTCTAAAATCAAGGTTTAAGCATATTATTTAAAAATATAAACACACTGAATAAAATAACTAAAATAAATATCAAAGGTCAGAAAGGAGGAGAAAGGGGATAATGTCAATGACACATTCATAAACATCTTCTGACTCCGATAATGTCATTTTGATAAATCAAGAAATAATATTATATGCCCATTACTTGGAGACATGGAAAAAAGCATGGTAAGAAATACAAAATTAATGCTTAAAAGTAGCAGCCTCAGTAAAGTGGAACTGCAATAGGCAGGTGAGACAGGGGCTGCTGTTTTTCATTGTAAGTTCCCTCAGAACAATTTTATAATAAAAGAGTAGAGGCCGAGCACAGTGGCTCACGCCTGTAATCCCAGCACTTTGGAGGCCAAGGCGGGTGGATCACTTGAGGTCAGGAGTTCGAGACCAGCCTCACCAACACGGAGAAACTCCATCTCTACTAAAAATACAAAATTAGCCAGGGGTGGCGGCAGGCACCTTTAGTCCCAGCTACTTGGGAGGTTGAGGCAGGAGAATTGCTTGAACCCGGGAGGTGGAGGTTGCAGTGGGCCGAGATCACGCCATTGCACTCCAGTCTGGGCAACAAGAGTGAAACTCCGTCTCAAAAAAATAAATAAATAAAAATTTTTTTAAAAAGGGTAGAAAGACAATAATGACATATTTAAGTGCATTCTGCTTACAAAAATTAAAAGAACAGATAATATACAGTGCTGGTGAGGGAAAAGGGAAGGAAGACTAGCCTTCTCATGCCATGATGACAATAAAATTGAGTACAGCATACTATGTTTAAAAAAGACCTGGCCAGGCATGGTGGTTCACACCTGTAATCCCAGCACTTTGAGAGGCCAAGGCGGGCGGATCACTTGAGGCCAGGAGTTCGACACCAGCCTGGCATGGTGGGGTTTCACATAGTGATGGGGTTTCACCATGTTGGCGAGGCTGATCTTAAACTCCTGACCTCAGGTGATCCGCTCGCCTCGGCCTCCCAAAGTGCTGGGATTACAGGTGTGAGCCACCGCGCCCAGCTGTATATAGTTTTTTCTTAATAAAAGGTGAATAATATCCGGGTAGTTTTTAAGAGTATGGTTCTAGCCCAGAGTTCCCTCTTGGAAATCTGGTCTGGTGTGAGCTCAGCAAATCCAGAGAGAGCTTGGTTCATTTCCTGACATAGAGATGCTAATCCTCCCTCCAACCTGGCTCTAGAGTCGTCCAGTCTCCTAGGTTCCCCTAGACCTTCTGATAACTAGTCCTGACCTCCTTGCAACCTAAAACCAAAACAGATATTCTAGCTCCTCCATTCTGCAGGCCCACACTTTGCTGGCTGATACGTTTTCTTCAATGCCATCATGCCTGAATGAGAGTATTCTCTCACTGGAGAACTCCCTCACAGTTCACTTCAGGAACTGTGAATGGCAGAAGATCTCCCACCAGCCACAGATTTATGGAACCAATCCAGCCAACTAATTTGAGCTACAAATGAAGTATCTAAAGAAGAGCCAGCAAGCATGTCTTCCCCCCGACCATTAATTATAATCTTGTGTACTGCAATCCAGGCTGAATAATACGGCACCAATTCTCCTGGACCAGATAAACTGGGCAGTGAAGAAAACCACCAAGTCAATTAATTTCCATTCCAGCGTTTGCCAGGATAGTATTTACCCAACCTCGGGTAAGTGTTAATACTTCAAATTTTCTAAAATCGAAGCTCCATAGCCTAAGGAATCCCCACAGGCCAGACCCTTTCTCAAGGTCTGCTTCAGAGGTTCTCATACTCATTGGTGCACGTCTAAAATGTCACAGACCAAACTACAGACTAAAATCTAATTCTCAGTGACCCCAACCACGGCCCAGACCCACACTTACCAGATGTCATCTACTGAACAGCCCACACAGGTTCGGAACTAGGCCATCCCGGCCCATCTGGAATAACTCTTCAGTACTTAGGCCAATATTTATTAATTATACTACATCTGTCTATTCTATTATGCATTCCCTGCATCTTCTCTACTATTTAGCACTCCCTCTTGCTTCAAACGCGATCCTTTCTATTCACGGGAACTCCTATCTCCCTTCTTTCCTTCCCTGAGAAACGCTTCAGTTCTTTCCATAATGAAATACCTAACGTATCTGCACAATGAACACCCCCCAGAATCCTCAAGACTCCTCCACAGCCACCTCCCCGCATTCCTCCACCTCTCCGGCATCTTTCCTCCGGCCCCTCGCCCTGTTCGCACTCCCACTACGTTTCCTGCAAGCATTCCCTTTTCTCCAACCCCTGCCCTTCCCTTCTCCCAAAGAGCACACTCCGGCAGCAACAGTGACTGAGGCCTGCGGTGCATAAAGCACTGCACCAGGCACGGTGGACAGAGCCCTGGTGTCTCCCTAGCCTTTTCACACCCACACCCAGCACCCTCCGGCCTCCCCGTGCAAACATCCCACCTCCTCCCCTACCTCTGACACCCGCCTCCAGCCTCGGAGGCCGCCTTCTCGCCTCCGCCACCCCCGTCATTATCCCTCCTCAACCCCCCAACCCACCCTCCGCGCCCTGCTTCCTCACGTCCCCCAGCCAGCCCCAGCGTTTCCCTCGGCCTCGGCTGGCCCCCTGGCCACCCCCAGCCTCGCCACGGCTCGCTCCCCCCGGGGTCAGGCCGTTACCGCCGCGCGCTCCCCCCGCGCGCCGCCCCCTCCCCCTCCCCCGCCCTCCCCCGGGCCCGGGCCTGCCAGGCCGAGCGCTTTACCGCGGGCGGGCGCCGAGTCGCGCGGTCACCGACTGCAGGCGGCGGCAGCTCCAACCTTTCTAGGGGCCTTGAGAGGAGGGGAAGGGGGGAGGGGGGAGAACTTTTGCTGTGGCAGCTTCGGCAACAGCTCCCACCCCTGCGCCTTTCTCCTCTTCCTCCCCCTCCTCCTCCTCCTCCTCTTCCTCCTTCTCTTCCTCCTCCCAGAGCAGTAGAGACGCAGACATGCCGCAGCTAGAGCGCCGCCGCGGTCGCCGCCACTGCCGGCCCGGTGCATTGTGGGAAGCCCCGCACACGGGAAGCGCTCCGCGGCGCCCGCCCTCGTCTGGCGCAGAGACCTGGCTGGAAAGACACAGCGTGGCTTCGATTCCGGCGCCTGCGTGTCACCAGCCCAGGGTGGCCGTGGAAGCTGGACCCGAGCCGCAGGCCCCCCAGGCTGGGCCTGGGAGGAAAGCGGTTTGAAAAAGATCGGAACTGAGGAACTCTCTTAGAGCGGGGGACTCCCTGCTCCTACAGCCTTAACCAATGCCCAGCGCTTGGAAAGTGGAGGACTCGGGGATTCGGGAGCGTTTCAGGCCTGGGGAAATGGAAGGGTCGGGGACCTAGGTGAAAGGTTATTTGCCAGAAATGTCTTGGCTTTTTCATTTATTCTGTCTTACCTAGCCCTTCGCCGCCACCTCCAGTCGTTGGCCTCTTACCACCTTCAAATGCCACCTTTTCCGGAAGATGTAGCCCTGCGCCCTTGAAACTGGCAAACCCTATTAGTGTCTGCAAGCTGAGATGCAGGGTGTGGGCATAGACACAGATCAAGAGATCCGGCCCTGGACCCTCTTGGGCAGAACCTTGCCCTTCTCATTTCACCTGAAGCCCAAACTTTGTATGGCAAAGACTTGGTAATGATCTCTATAGAGCTAGGATTACACAGTTGTCTCATCCTTTGGGGGCCCTTTAGCCAAACTGTGACCTCCTTAATGGTGCCTTCGTCAGCTAACATTAGGCGCCCTGAGGTGCTTCTGCATACTGCCATCGTTTACAATTACTCATCTTTGTGTACACACCCTAGCACAAGGTCAGCCATATAACATAAAAGATGCTCAGTGAATGTTGAGTAATTGTGAGCATCTGGAACTTGCCGTGGGATAAAACGCGTTCATTGGGATTTCTTCATAATAATATGAAGATTCCATTTAGCGCCTCTCTGCAATACTTAAACGTAACCTTTGAGGGGAGAGGGAAAAGAAAAGGCATGAAAATATCTATAGAGCCATTTCTGGTGTTCTCCTTCCCTTTTCCACACCCGCCTTCCCACCCCTTGCCAACTAAATGTTCATTTGAATAGTGCTTTTTGGCAAAATTCCAAACTCCTGCATTATGCACTTGTGATGACACTGAATTAGATTAGTGTCTGCAAGGTTAATGTTCCCTCAGGCATTAACCTTAGTAAATCGTGATGCCTGTTTAGAAATAGCTAAGGCCCAGAGGTTCAGCTTAATTTAGACACAGGTAACTAAGAGCAAGAGTAAACCACAGCTCCACAATCAACTCTCTCTGTGTGCTTTCTCCATTAAAAAATATAAATTTTAATAAGATGACCGCACATATTCTGAATGTTAATTGCAACAAAACAATGACACAAGTTAGAGCCAAGGGACAGTTATCTGGAGGACAGCCTTCTGGCAACTTCTAGCACCCGCAGTGGCATCAAATTCAGACGTCATAATGAAAAACACCTCTGGCAGCAAGAAAGCCGACTCTCAGTATTAGGCAGTGGGAAAACTAATAACTGAAAAGGGCTCAAGGCCTGGAGGTTACATCCAATGGGCTAGGATTGATTGGTTTGCTATTAGGAATAGATCTAGTTCTCTGCTCAGCAGCCTAACAAGCGATAGAGAAACAGCTGTCTAAAATGGGCAGAACGAAGAGCACTACAGGGATAGTAACAGCAAAAGCGATGGTGAGGAGCAAGCTTAGGTCCTTTATAAGTTAAACTGGAAAAACTTCTCAGCTTCAGGTTGGCTCTCCATGCTCCTCTTGCTCACTTCCCTAAACACCACCCGTAGGTACTCAGCCTACTTACTTTTCCTTTTTTTTTTTTTTAACTTTTTATTTTGAAATAATTATAGACTCACAAGAAGTTGCAAAAATAGTCCAGAGTCCCATGCTTTCCCCAATGGTGACATCTTACAAAGCTCTAGTAAGACATCAAAATCAGTGTCAACCTAAATAACAGAGAGGCTTTCTAAAAGAAAATAATGTTTATTTGGGAATAGAGCATTGCAATGAAAATATACACATCACAGTTAACCGCATATTCAGGGATGTAAAGGAAGACAAAGGTGTTTAAAGGAAAAAATGGAAAGGATTACATAATTGTTTTGAAATAATTATCCTTGACTACAAAGATCAATAACAAGGGTGACGCCAGTCCGAGGTTGGACAGGCATTTGCTGGGGAGATGTCCTTGCAGAAGTATTTTTTTATGTAAGGTTGTGATGGCCTTTGTGCAAGGTTGTGGGTTTTGCAGTCTTTTTTTGATAGTTTTTGTTATCAGGTATACAAATGTAAGAACCCTCTCTTCGTAGGCAGCCTTCCCTAGCTCTGTTTGTCAGGGTTTCTTAACATTAGTAACTCCATTTTGATTGTGACAACTTTCACACCAGGAAATCGACAACAGTACATTACTGTTTACTATAGACTTCAGAACTTATTACTTGCCATTTTCTTAACCTGTGTTCTGTTTTGTGTGTGTGTGTGTGTGTGTGTGTGTGTGTGTGTGGTTCAATGCAACTTTACCTCACTTACAGATCCTTGTAACCACTCCTATAATGAAGACATAGAACTGTTCCATCACCACAAAAGAACTCCCTCATACTACCTTTTGGTATTCACAAATCCCCTTCCGCACTGCAACCGCTCACCCAACTCCATGCCTGTCCTCTAGTAACCACTAAACTATTCTCCATCTCTATACTTTCATCATTTCAAAAATGTTATCTAAGTGGAATCATACAGCATGTAAACTTTTGAGATTGATGTTTTAACCTAAACATAAAGGTCCACAGCTCAAGCAAATCTAAAGGGCACAGACACTTCCAGCTGATGGTTTCCAAGGGGGAATGTAATATTTAGGAAATCAAGAGAAGTCAGGAATCTGAGTTTTGGGGTGAAACCTCACAAATATTAAATGTTGACAACTCATTCTGTTTTTTTTTAAGAACACAAAAGCATGTCAGACAAAACATGCCTGTGGGCCAGATTAAGTCCATAGCCCCCGGTATATCTTCTCTGATGTGACCTAACCCATAGAGGCTGGCACCGCTGTTCTGACAGGTGAGATTCTCAGGGACTCCCAAGGCCTCTTTCCTCTCTTCTGGCTCTGGAATTAGTTCTGAGGCTTGGTCTTTGCACTCCTTCCAGGAGAAGAATGTACTTCCATCTCTTTCCTGCTTCACCAGGTCTTCAGACCCTCCTCTAGTAATCTCTTTCCTTCCTTTTTTCTAGTATTCTCAGACTCAAGACTAGATGGAAGTTCTGTCTTCTCTATCCTTATGGCTCCCTGCAGCACTAGCCATTCGTCAAAGCTGGTTCTACCTTAAGGATAAACTTGTCCTTTTCTTTGCAAAACTCTAAATTCATAGCTTTGCTACAGATTAATCCACAAGAACCTGCCTCTACTGCGTCACTCCTACTGTACCCAGAAAAATATGGCTTTTCCTGTTCCTAAAGGAGTTCTTTTCCTGGGACATCCTGGGACCCCCTGAATTCCTGCTTCAGATATGCTTCAGGCCTGGGGAAATGGAAGGGTTGGGGACCTAGGTGAAAGGTTATTTGCCAGAAATTTCTTAGCTTTTTTGTTTATTCTCTCTTACCTAGCCCTCCGCTGGAGGGCAAAGGGCATCCCAGATAGCTGATATATTCTAAAACTAATGAATAGTCTACTGTCTCCTGCTGAGGATATAGAGTGGAGGTAATTTCTTGAGTTTGAGACAAAAAACCCTGCACCTCTTAGAAACATCTAAAGAAGGTACTAGGTTGCACTAAAGTTCATCAGTTGTGAGATAACTATGGTTTAGAGGGGCACAAGGGAAGACACCACTGAAAGGCCAAGATACATAAGAATGAATGAAAATGAGGTCTTGGGCCAGGATGATATTTGTGGGTAAGGAAAAAATAAATAATATGAGGATAATATCTACTAGTGCCTAGAGGTTAGTCTGGTGATTAAGTCCACAGATTCTGCAGCTGAAGCCAGGGTTTGAATCCTGACTCTACCACTTACTGGCTTTGCAATCTTAAGTTACTTAACCTCTCTGTGCTGTCAAGTGCCCCATCTAGCAAATGGAGCTAAGAATAGTACCTTCTTTTTAGGGATATTATGGCTATTAAATATTAACATAGAGTAGTTTAGTGTTTGTTTATTTATTTATTTATTTTAGAGACAAGGTCTCTGTTGCCCAGGCTGGAAGGCAGTGGTACAATCATAGTTCACTGCAGCCTCAAACTCCCAGGCTCAAGTGATCCTCCCACCTCAGCCTCCTGAGTACCTGGGACTACAAGTGTGCACCACCATGCCTGGCTGATTTTTGTATTTTTGTAGCAATAGGATCTGGCAGTATTGCCCAGGCTGATCTCAAAGTCCTGGCCTCAAAGCGAGCCTCCCAGCTCGGCCTCCCTAAATACTGGGATTACAGGCATGAACCACCACACCTGGCAATGTAAAGCAGTTAGAACAATAACTGACACATAGTTAAATGTTCTATGTGGTGTTGATATTGTAGTTGCTATTATTACTATTTAAAATAACCTAAAGGTAACACTGAACCAAATTTCCTAAAAATAAAATTCAATAGAGAAAAGACATCAGTTTCTACAAGTGGATTGGGGTGAGGAAAAGAAGAGAAACTATACAAGGACAAAAAAAAAAAAAAAAGAACATGTTGAGAGAGGTGATTTAGGTGGGAAAATACCTTTCAGAATGTTTTCCATGGGGAATAAAAAGGGTATGCAATAGGTAGATGGCACTAGGAAAAAAAATTAACCTGCAAAAAAAAACTGCCATTTTTCAGATATTTTATTTCTGAGCATAATCTTTGCCTCAACAATTTTATAAGGCTGATGACATTGGTCTATTTTAAGGATGCTTGCTACTTTCTATCCGGCCAACACCAGTGAATCAAGTGCCTATCTCTTCTTTCCCAAAGTTTAACCAGAATGAAGACAAGTTAACTATTCATGTATTAAAGTTGTGGGTTTTCATAAGAGAGAAATAATAACAATTTTTACCATCCCAGAGTGTTCAGAGATCTCACAATTTGCTTATTGCCAAGATGGTGCAATATAATGCAGAAATGATTTTTTTATTTCTTGTTTTTACTCTCAATATGATTTGAATTAAAAAGCATGTGAGAATTCTGGGCTCATCAAAGTATATCAAAACTACCCTGTTATATGTAGTAATTCAACACAGAGAAAAAGCGTCCATTTTCCCTCCATTACTATCTTTCTAACTTGCCAATATTCGGCTTAAATATTTATTTAAAACCCACATGCCAAGAGCTACAAATGGCACCACAAAAGGGATAAAACAGATACAGGATTGCACTAAAGCCTATCAGCTGTGCAGTAACTGTGGTTTGGAGGGACACAGGGGAAGATATGGGGAAAAGGTCAAAACAGGCAAAGACACAAGAATTAAGCATTGGGGTTAACTCTGTTTTACCTTTTCTTTCCTACTTGATTTTTCACGAAGGCAACCATTTTACACTTCCTGAAGAAAAGTATGTAGCTGTGTAAGAACACAGTGTTAAGGTTCAAAGAAGACTAAGACACGTTCTAAGTTCATGAGAAGCTGTAAACTAATGGAGGAGGCCGGGCGCAGTGGCTCATGCCTGTGATCACAGCACCTTGGGAGGTGGGAGGATCGCTTGAGCCCAAGAGTTTGAGGCCAGCCTGAGCAACATAGTGAGACGCCATCTCTACAAAAAATCAAAAAATTAGCTGGGCATGGTGGCACATGGCTGTAGTCCCAGCTATTTGGGAGGCTGAGGTGGGAGGATCACTTGGGCCTGGGAAGTCAAGGCTGCAATGAGCTATGATCACACCATTGCACTCCAGCCTGGGCATACAGAGTAAGACCCTGTGTCAAGAAAAATTTTAAAAATGAAATTAGCCGGGTGTGGTGATGCATGCCTGTGGTCCCAGCTACTTGGTGGGCTGAGGTAGGAGGGTTGCTTGAGTCTGGGCAGTTGAGGCTGCAGTGAGCTATGATCACCATTGCACTCCAGCCTAGGTGACAGAGCAAGACTCTATCTCAAAAAATAAATAAATAAGTAAATAGATAATGTAGCTAGGGTGAGAATGAGCCCTCACTTCTTTCAATTGCTCAATCGTGGTTTTTGAATACCTAGTATGTGTCAGGCAATGAGCTGAGTGTCAGGGATATTCAGTCCATTGAGAAATCCGTACATCTGTTCTTTTATTCATCAAACAAATTGTTATTGAATGTCTGGGACTATACTAAATACCAGAAATACTGTGGTAAATAAAATACTCTTCTAGGCCAGAAGCTTACAACCATCAGTTGGTGGAGTAAAACAGGTGAATAAACTGCTTCACTGCAGGGTGATACATTCTAATATAGAGATGAGCACCGGACGCTGGAGGAGGACACTGGAAGAGGACCTGTGCAGCCCCGGGCCAGGACAGCTTCCCCAACATGACATTTTAGCTGAGACATGAAAGGGGGTGGTACTGGTGGAGTCCTGAGCAGAGGAAGGAGATGGCATATGCAGAGTCCTAGTGCCAAAAGGAGCTCAGTGTGTTCAGGCACCTGCGAGTCATTCCGAATGAATGCATGCAGGAAGTGGTAAAAAAGAAAAAAAAAATGATACTGCAGTGGAAAGCACCAGCAAGCTCCAGAGTGCCTTGTGGACTTAGTTGAGGTATCTGACCTTCCTTTATCCCAAGAACAGTCTTTCCCAAAGTGTGGCTGGATGATAAGAAGATCTTAGATGGTACACAGAATACTATTTTTTTTAATTTTTGTAGTTAATGGGGTGAACACGCATAGAAAATATATAGATAGATAGATATAGATCTATTTCATACATGCAACACATTGCTTATCTTATATTTTTGCTTAGGATGAGGTTGACTGACAAAAGTAATTCAACTGACAGAATACTACCTAGATTATAGTTGGTACATGAACAACCATGAATGACTGACGTTTGGGCAAAAATGCCTGAGGCTGACAGATTGCCATGGAAAGCTTTTATGTAGGGAAGTCACATAAGAATACTTCTAGGTTAGAAAGAGCACTCTGGTTGTGGAGAATAGATAAGGACAGTATTTGCCAAACTTCTGGTTAAGTCACATGAGTGGATTCTGAAATCAAATTTAAAGTTGTGCTGGGTGCAGTTGTGCAACCTGCAATCCCAGCTACTGGGAAAGCTGAGGTGGGAAGATTACTTGAGCCCAGGAGTTCAAGAGCAGCCTGGGCAACACAGTGAGACCCCATCTCAAAAAAAATTTTTTTTTTAATTTTCTTTAAGTTGTAACTGGCAGAGTTTTTTTTCAGTAAAACATAATAGGATACAATAAATATTATCAGACGGCTTCACATACAATCAGATGGCATCACATGTAACAATACTTTTAATTTTACATATGCATCTATAAGCATGTATGCATGTGTGTAAGTGTTACTAGGTTACAGCACAAAATATTTTTCTTACTGTGGGTCAAAGTCAAAGAAAGTTTAAAAGTCACTGGAAACAGACCAATTAGGAGTCTGTTGCAGTATTTTGTTCATTCAATTAGTGTTTATTGAGTACATATTATGTAACAGGTGCTATTCTACGCACTGAGAATATGGCTGGTGAACAAAATTGATAATGTGCCTGATCTCACAACATTTACACTCTGGTGAGGAGAGGATACAATGAGCAAGTAACCAAATAAGTTCCTAAGACAACTTAAGTGAAGTTCTTTAAAAAGCAATAAATCTGAGGGAGAAATGTAGGCTCCACATAGGCTGGTCTCTTCTTTTTTCTTTTCTTTTTTATTTTTGTTCATTGCTGTGTTCCAAGCATAGAGAATAGGAATAGTGCTTAGAACATAATAGCTGCTCAGTAAGTATTCGTTGAATGACTGACTGAATGAATCATTCAATGAAGGCTGCTGTTGGCTTGACTTAGGTAGTTAAAATAGAAATTAAGAGAACTAGATGGATTCAAGATATATTTAAGAGGTAAAATAAATGGGGTTTAGTGAGAAAAGTAGGATTTGGGGGCTAAGAGATAAAAATAAGAGGAATAGTTTCTCTACAACCTACTCTAAAGATAGTAACCAGAGTGATCATGTGATTTCTCCATTGCAAACCCTCCACAGCTTCCTATTGTACTCGGAGTAAAGCCCAGGCTTCTTACAATGGCCAGGAATGCTGTCCATGACCTGGGCTTGGGTGCCTCACTAACCTCATCACTAAAAATCTCCCTCTGTCTCGCTCTGTTCCAGCCACACTGGCCACCTTGCTGTTCCCCAAACCCCCAGTTAAGGCACTGGTCAAGGCATTTGCACTCACTGTCCCCTCTTGAAATGCTCTTCTCCCAAATATTCACATAGCATAGACCTCTCTTTCTTCAAGTGTCTCCTTCTTGGAGAGGTCTATTCTCACCACCTAATGTTACAACTCATGTACTGTGACATACATTCTTCTGCCTGCTCAGTTTTTCCCCACAGCACTTACTGTGAGACGTGTGTATGGGTGTGTGTGTGTGTGTGTGTGTGCAGCACTCTAACATACTATTATAGTCGATTATCCTCATTGTCTGTCTCCCACAGGAATGTCACTATCCATGAGCCTAAAGCAGTTTGGCACATTGTAGGTGCTCCATCAATATTTGTTGAAAAAACAAAGACAACTCTCAGGTTTCTGGTTTGAGCAACCGGGTGATTGTGGCTTACTGAGGCAAGAAACACAGAAGGATACAGAGTCCGATGGGAAGTGACAAGTTCCTTTTTTGACATGCTGAGTCCGTGTCTTGTGAGAGCAATGTCCAGGTGGGAATTCTCTTTAGGCAGTTGAATATATGGGTCTGGTCCTCCAAAGAGCCACAGATATAAACTTGAGGGATCACTGGCTTATAGATGGCATTTGAATGGATGAGACCAGCAAGAAAATGTATACAGAGATGAAGAGAAGACCTTGGGGAAACAGCAGGAGCTGAAAAACAGCAATAGTAGAAGAGCCCACAAAGGAAAGAGAGCAATTGATGGAGTTAGAATGAAAAGCAGTTGTGCAAATTCATGGGAGAGTAGTTTTAAGAAGGGAGGTATATTTATTATCTATTCCTGTATAAAACTTATTCCAGCCTCATAACTATATATAATTATTATGTGTCAGTTAAAAATACATTTTAAGGCCAGGCATGGTGGCTCATGCCTGTAATCCCAGCACTTTGGGAGGCTGAGGTGAGAGGATCACTTGAAGTCAGGAGTTCGAGACCAGCCGGACCAACATGGCGAAACCCCAACTCTACTAAAAATACAAAAATTAGCCAGGCATGGTGGCGGGCACCTGTAATCCCAGCTACTCAGGAGATTGAGGCAAGAGAATCGCTTGAACCTGGGAGGCGGAGGTTGCAGTGAGCCAAGATCATGCCACTGCACTCCAGCCTGAGTGACAGAGAAAGACTCTATCTCAAAAATAAATAAATTTAAAATAATTACCCCAAAATTTAGTGGCTGAAAGCAAAACACATTTATTATCTCACTGTCTGATAAAACAAACTCTGTCTCTCTACACTGTCACACAGAACACTGCTAACACCAGGTGTACAGGGTTTTTTTCCACACTGAAAATGCTCTGACACCAGTTGGGTGTCCCACAATTCAATTCTGACACAATCTACCTGGAGTTTGGGTCAGATCCCACAAGTTAAGGGCTCAATCCCACAAGACTGCTCCCACCTAAAATGCCAATCTCAAGTCCAGGCCTCTTGTACTTCTGATCCACCCACTATAAGTTGGGGTTTCCCATGACCCTCTCCTCATGTGCAATAATTTTCTAAAATGGGGCACAGAACTCAGAAAAACACTTTATTTACGTTTATGGTTTATCATAAAGGGTACTGTTAAAGCAAACTAAATATGGCCTGAGAAAGATTCCATACTTCTATATTTGAGTCCTTGTGGATGAACTGTAACCTAGCTTAATAGTCAGACAAAATTGAAAACCTAACTTAGGAGTGGCCAGCCGTGGTGGCTCACGCCTGTAATCCCAGAACTTTGGGAGGCTGAGGTGGGCAGATTACTTAAGGTCAGGAGTTTGAGACCAGCCTGGCCAATATGGTGAAACCCCATCTGTACTAAAAATACAAAAATTAGCTGAGCATGGTGGCGTGCGCCTGTAGTCCCAGCTACTCGGGAGGTTGAGGCAGGAGAATTACTTGAACCGGGGAGGCAGAGGTGGCAGTGAGCCGAGATTGCTCCATTGCACTCCAGTCTGGGCATCGTGGCAAGGCTCCATCTCAAAAAAAAAAAAAAAGAAAGAAGAAAACCTAACTTAGGAGTATGTGCCTGTTACAATAACTGAGTCTTGGCCAATCCCAGTGGCCATACTTCATTCATAGCCTAAGTGTTCAAACTGGGTTCCAATAAGGCAAACGCCATCCTGTAATCAATCCAGCTGTTTCTGTACCTCACTGCCGATTTCTGTATGTCATTTCCTTTGTTTTTGTTTGTTTATTTGTTTGTTTTGTCTATAAATCTTCTTCCACCATGTGGCTGCACTGGAGTCTCTGTGAATCTGCTGTGATTCTGGGGGCTGCTCGATTGGTGAATCGTTCATTGCTCAATTGAACTCCTTTAAATTTAATTTGGCTGAAGTTTTTTTTTTTTTTTTTTTTTGTTGTTGTTGTTGTTTTTGAGATGCAGTCTCGCTGTGCGGCCCAGGTTGGAGTGCAGTAACACAATCTTGGCTCACTACATGAAGTTTTTTTTTTGTTGTTTTTTGTTTGTTTGTTTGTTTTTTATCAGAACAGATGAACAGCCAGATGAAGGGATACATGGGGTGTAGTCTGGAAGGATCCCAAGAACAGGAGCTCTGTCCCTGTGGAGTTGGGGTCCACCACCCTCCTGTCATCCCACTATTATTGTTGTGCAAGAGTTTTCAAAGAGCTTAATCTCTAGCCCCTTCCAGGAAGTCTGTTGGTAGGCCTGAAAGTTCTAACCTTGTAATCACTTGGTCTTTCTGGTGACCAGCCCCATCCTGAGGCTATTAGGGGCAAGTTACCTCATTAATATAAACTCAGATGTGACCAAAAAGGGTTCATTATGAATAACAAAAGAAACTCATGAAATACCAAGGGCTTTAGGAGCTCTGTGCCAAGAACCAGAGACCAAGACCAAATACATTTCTTGTTACACCACATGCTATTTCTGTGGATACAGGGTCCTGCGCTACCTAACTGGGTCCTCTGTTTTAGGGTTTCTTACAAGGCTGTAATCAAAGTGTCACTCAAGGCCGTGGTCTCATCTGCAGGCTTCTCTAGATAGTGATCCTCTTTCAAACTATTGGCAAACTGTTTCAATTGTTGACAGGATTCAGTTTTCTAAGGACTGCTGGACTGAGGGCCTCAGATCTTTCTCATGGGGATTTCTCCATAGGGCACCTCACAACATGGGAGCTTGCTTCATTCACCAGAGCAAACCTGAAAGGAGAATCCATGAAAGAGTGTGAGCAAGTCTTCTATAACCTCATCTTGTAAGTGCTATGTCATTCCATCTCACTTTTGTCTTATTCTAGTCATTAGAAGCAAGATACTAGGCTCAGCCCACACAAAAGGAAGGGATTAAAAAAGGGAGTGAATACCAGGAGGTGGGGATCACTGTGAGCTGCTTTCGAAACAGCCTCCTACAGAGGATGTGTCGGTAGTGTTAAAAGTCATAGAGTGGTCAAGCGTCCAGGACATTTGGCAACAAGGAGCAGCGTTTGTTATTTTAGAGAGAGCTGGCTTAGCAGAGGGTGGAGGCAAAGCCAGATGATGAAGGTCTGAAGAGTGAATCAGAATGGAAGAAGTAGAGGTGGAAAGCACAGACAATTCTTTCAAGAGGCTTAGATATAAAGGGAAGGATAGTGATAGAGTGGCTGCAGGAAGGAATGGACTCAAAATCAGATAGCGGTTTATTATTATTATTATTATTATTATTATTATTATTATTTGAAAGAGATTTAAATGCATTTAAAAGTTATCAGGGGCCGGGTGTGGTGGCTCATGCCTCCCAGCAGTTTGGGAGGCCAAGGAGGGAGGATCACCTGAGGCCAGGAGTTTGAGACCTGCCTGGGCAACTTAGCAAGAACCCTGTCACTACAAAAAGTTAAAAAAAAGTAGCCAGGAATAGTGATGCCCACCTGCAGTCCCAGCTACTTGGCAGTCTGGAGTGGGAGGATCACTTGAGCCCGGGAGGTGGAGGATGCAGTAAGCCAAGATTGTGCCACTGCACTCCAGCCCAGGAGACAGAGTGAGACCCTATCTCTAAAGAAAATAATAAAAATAAGAATAAATAAAAGTTATTGGATAGGCATTTATAGAAAAAAGAGATTAAAGAAAGAAACTGGATCCCTTCCTTACACCGTATACAAAAATTAACTCAAGATGGATTAAAGACTTAAATGTAAGACCTAACACCATAAAAACCCTAGAAGAAAACCTAGTCAATACCATTCAGGACATAGGCATGGGCAAAGACTTCATGACTAAAACACCAAAAGCAATAGCAACAAAAGCCAAAATAGACAAATGGGATATAATTAAACTAAAGAGCTTCTGCACAGCAAAGGAAATTATCATCAGAGTGAACAGGCAACCTACAGAATGGGAGAAAATTTTTGTAATCTACCCGTCTGACAAACAGCTAATATCCAGAATCTACAAAGAACTTAAACAGATTTACAAGAAAAAAATAAACAACCCCATCAAAAAGTGGGCAAAGGATATGAACAGACTCTTCTCAAAAGAAGACATTTATGCAGCCAACAGACATATGCAAAAATGCTCATCATCATTGGTCATCAGTGAAATGCAAATCAAAACCACAATGAGATACCATCTCACGCCAGTTAGAATGGCAATCGTTAAAAAGTTAGGAAACAACAGATGCTGGAGAGGATGTGGACAAATAGAAATGCTTTTACACTGTTCGTGGGAGTGTAAATTAGTTCAAACATTGTGGAAGACAGTGTGGCAATTCCTCAAGGATCTAGAACTAGAAACACCATTTGACCCAGCAATCCCATTACTGGGCATATGCCCAAAGGATTATAAATCATTCTACAATAAAGACACATGCCCACGTATGTTTATTGCTGCACTATTCACAATAGCAAAGACTTGGAACCAACCCAAATGTCCATCAATGATAGACTAGTTAAGAAAATGTGGCACCTAAACACCATGGAATACTATGCAGCCATTAAAAAGGATGAGTTAATGTCCTTTGCAGGCACATGGATGAAGCTGAAAACCATCATTCTAAGCAAACTGTCACAAGGACAGAAAACCGAACACCGAATGTTCTCACTCATAGGTGGGAGTTGAACAATGGGAACACATGGACACAGGGTGGGGAACATCACACACCGGGGCCTGTCGGGTATGGGGGGCTGAGGGAGAGATAGCATTAGGAGAAATACCTAATGTAAATTACGAGTTGATGGGTGCAGCAAACCACCATGGCACATGTATACCTATGTAACAAACCTGCACATTGTGCACTTGTACCCTAGAATTTAAAGTATAATAATAATAATAATATTTTTAAAAGGCAGTAGAGTGCGCACTTCAGCAGCACATATACTAAAATTGGAATGATACAGAAAAGATTTGCACACCCCCTACTAGGCCCGGCTGGATGTGGTGGCTCATACTTGTAATCCCAGCACTTTGGAAGGCTGAGGAGGGAGGATCACTTGAGCTCAGGAGTTCGGGACCAGCCTGTCAACATAGTGGGACCCCATTTCCACAAAACAATAAAAAATTAGTGGGGCATGGTGATGTGAGCCTGTAGTTCCAGCTGCTTGAGAGGATGAGGTGGGAGGATGGCTTGATCCCAAGAGGTCAAGGCTGCAGTAAGCTATGATCATGCCACTGCACTGCAGCCTAGGTGACTGGGTGAGACCTTGTCTCAAAAAAAAAAAAAAAAGCTGTATGGGCGGTCACAGGACTGAAAAAGGGGCCCCAAGCACAATAGAAGTATTAGGCAAAGGGGCAGAAGAGAGGACAAGAGTAGATAGAGGTCAATCCATGGAAGCAGTGGCAGGAAGTCAATAGACACTTTTATTTCCTCTGTAAACCACGAGATCACCTGCTGAGAGGAAGCGGGAAGGTGTTGTGGTAGGAAGTCGGAAGAGTTTGGAGAAGGTTTGAAATGGCTGCATTCAAAAGGGAAAATAAAGAGATTAAGAGCAGCTCGAGGACTCTGAGATTAGACCCATAAGGAGCAGCTTGTTACGTCACTTTCTCCAGCAGCATCCAGCAGGTCAGGTAGAATATGGGAAGGCCAACAAATACCCGCAATAAGCTCAAGGTTTCCTAAGGTCAGCACTGCAAAGAATATGGGTCAAGGAAATCAATGGCACTGGCAAAAGGGACAGACCTGTGGTCTAGCCAGAGAGGAGAGAAATCCCATTCAGAGTGCGGGAGCAGATGGGGCTAACGGGAGATAATAAAAGGGCCAAAACCTCAATACAACTGAAAACCAGGCACAGTGAGCAAAATGAAGTAAGAGAGCTGAAAGTTAGATAGTTGGGGTCAGAGATAGAAACGAATCACTTGGATGGGATGATCAGGGATGGAGAAGACCAGTAGTGAGCCCAGGAGAGAGATGATGTGGGCCTAAAAAACTACCCTTTATTAAGCCCCTATTTGTCCAGGCTTAACATGCTAAAAGCTTTACCTGTATAATCTCAGGTAATACAACTCTCAAAGGTAAGGCTTGTATCAGCATTATACAGAAGAGGAAACAGGCCAAGAGAAACTGCATACTTGGCTAAGCGCAGTGGCTCACGTCTGTAATCCCAGCACTTTGGGAGGCCAAGGTAGGCGGATCACTTGAGGTCAGGAGTTAGCCTGGCCAACATGGTGAAATCCCATCTCTACTAAAAATACAAAAATTAGCCAGGCATGGTGGCACATGCCTGTAATCCCAGCTGCCTTTTAAACAGAACCCTTAACTTTCTTTTTTTGAGTTGAAGTTTTGCTCTGTTGGCCAGGCAGGAGTACAGTAACACAATCTTGGCTCACTGCAACCTCCATCTCCCGGGTTCAAGCAATTCTTCTGTCTCAGCCTCCTGAGTAGCTGGGATTACAGGTACCCACCACCAAGCCGGGCTAATTTTTGTAGTTTTAGTAGAGATGGGGTTTCACCATGTTGGTCAGGCTGGTCTTAAACTCCTGACCTCAAGTGATCCACCTGCCTTGGCTTCCCAAAGTGCTGAGATTATGGCACGCCCAGATCTCTTTTTTTTTTCTTCTTCTTTTTTTCTTTTTTTTTTTTTTTTGAGACAGTTTCACTCTTGTTGCCCAGGCTGAAGTGTAATGGCGTGACCTCAGCTCACTGCAACCTCTGTCTCCTGGGTTCAAGCAATTCTCTTGCCTCAACCTACAGAGTAGCTGGGATTACAGGTATCTGCCACTACGCCTGGCTAATTTTTGTATTTTTAGTAGAGATGGGGTTTCACCATGTTGGCCAGGCTAGTCTCGAACTCCTGACCTCAGGTGATTCACCCGCCTTGGCCTCCCAAAGTTCTGGGATTACAGGCGTGAGTCACCGCACCTGGCCCCAGAGCTCTTAACTTTCTAAATAATTCTCCGATCTGTCTTCTGCTTTCATCTTTAACACACCTGCCTTAGTTTAGGCTCTGAGTGGCAGTATCACCTAGCACAGCGCAGTGCTTCTCAAACTTTGGCTGCTTCAGTTATCTGCAAGGCATATTGAAACACAAATTCTAGGCCCCACCCCAATTCGAGAACCCCAGAATATCTGATTCAGTAAGTCTTGGATAGGATCTGATAATGTGAATTTCTGTCAAATTTCCAGGCGTTGCTGATGCTGCTTGTTGCTGGTTGAGACCCAGTGGCCTAGAGGTTGATTTCAAATGTTACCCCTCTTATTTACTATATGACCTTCAGCAACTTATGTAGTTTCTTTTTTATTTATTTTATTTTATTTTTGAGATAGAGTCTTGCTCTGTCACCCAGGCTGGAGTGCAGTGGCACTATCTGGCTCACTGCAACTTCCACCTCCCAGATTCAAGCAATTCTCCCTGCCTCACCCTCCCAAGTAGCTGGGATTACAGGCGCCCACCACCACACCTGGCTATTTTTTTGTATTTTTAGTAGAGACGAGGTTTTGCCATGTTGTCCAGGCTGGTCTTGAACTCCTGACCTCAGGTGATGCGCCCGCCTTGGCCTCCCAAAGTGTTGGGATTACAGGCGTGAGCCACTGTTCCTGGTCCCAATTTATATGTTTTTAATTGCTTATGCTCTAAGTGTCGTATCTAAGAAATTATTGCCTAATCCAAGGTCAAAAAGATCTACACTGATTTTTCTTCTAAAAGTTTTATGATTTTAGCTCTTACATTTAGGAAGTTCATGATTTTGAGTTAATTTTTGTGTATGGTGATAGGTCAGATAATTCTTATGATTCCATGAGATGAATATTGCAGACTACAGGGCACATTGTAAGTGCTCAGGGACTGGTAGTTAGTATTATTATTGTATGATTTGTTTAAGGAAATCACCAATGTACAATAATCATTGAATAAACTTCACAGAAAGATCAATCTTACTTCTTCACGGTCATGTCTTCTTTGGGGGAAAAACCGTAACATGATCACCTAATTTGATTGTCCACCTTGCTCATCTCCTTGGTAACTTCTAGTTGTTTCCAAAAGGATGAAGACTTGCCACAGGTAGAGAATTCAAAGCAGAGGTTGGTCCCAAAGGCAGGCCTGGCACCATCCTGGGGAATGAGGTACCTCTGGCAGAAGCATAAAGCCTCCCAGGGTGACTGCAAAAGAGGAAAAAACATGCATTTTGGCATGGGTATTTTTCATGAAACATTATAGTTTCATCTTTGTGTTTCTATGTCCATGTGCATAAATATTTATTCACATAAGCTTTACACAGAGTTAATTAACTTCTAGGGATTTACCAAGGACCCAAGCGCTACAATTAAGTCATCAACCCAGCTACCCAAATATACCATATTTATTATCTGGATCTTCCGTATTCTCAGTGGTTCCATGCGAGTCTTCTCTTGGGAAGTCCTGCACCCTAAAATCTCAGTGTTTTTAATTGGGTGTGGAGACTGCTTTGCCGCATCGTATATTTGGCAAAGTCTGGAGATATTTTTGGTTGTTACATCTGAAGGGGCATTACTGGCATCTAGTGGGTGGAGGCCAGGGATGCTGCCAAACATCCTGCAATGCACAGAATACCCCCCATACAAACAATTATCCAGCCCAAAATGTCAACAGTGCCAAGGCTGAGAAACCCTGACTAGCTATATGTGAGTTGTCTATGCTTACACTTTGAACTAAGGCAGCAAGCTGTGATGGCTCTGAAATCAGAGAGACTGGGCTCAAATCCCAGCACTGTCACTTACTGCCTCTGTGACCCAGAGCAAGTTACTCCACCTTTCTGGGCCTTAGTTTCATCTGCTAATCACTGTAATATCTATCCATGTGTATATAAAATAATCTAATATACATAATAATCATCTAACATATTTTAAATCATCTTATGTGTAAACACACACACATGTGTCTGTGTTATATGCTGCCCAATGACTAGTACATATTAAATACTCAATGAATATTAGCTGACATTAATATAGGTGACAACAATATTATATAAAAAAAAAAACTTAGGGCCAGGCATGGTGGCTCACACCTGAAATCACAGCACTTTGGGAGGCCAAGGCAGGAGAATTGCTTGAGCTCAGGAGTTCAAGACCAATCTGGGCAAAATAATGAGACCCCCGTCTCCACTAAAAATAAAAAATATTTGCTGGGCGTGGTGGCACAAGCCTGCAGTCCCAGCTACTTGGAAGGTGGGAGGATTGCTGGGGTCAGGGAGATCAAGGCTTCAGTGAGCTATGATTGCACCACTGCACTCCAGCCTGGGCAACAGAGCAAGAACCTGTCTCAAATAAATAATACCTTAGTTTTTTTTTGTTTTGTTTTGTTTTGTTTTGTTTTTTTAAGTTGAGTTCATTGGCTGGGCACGGTGGCTCATGCCTGTAATCCCAACACTTTGTGAGGCCAAGGCAGGCAGATGCCTTGAAGTCAGGAGTTTGAGACCAGGCTGGCCAAAGTGGCAAAACCCCATCTGTACTAAAAATACAAAAATTAGTAGGGCATGGTGGTGCATGCCTGCAGTCCCAGCTACTCGGGAGGCTGAGGTATGAGAATCGCTTGAACCTGGGAGGCAGTGGTTGCAGTGAGGCGAGATCAGGCCACTGCACTCCAGCCTGGGCAACAGGGCAAGACTCTATCTCAAAAAAAAAAAAAAAAAAAAAGTCAGGTTTATTGAAGTATAATTTACACAGAATATAATTTATCTTTTTACAGCATACATTCAATGAGTTTTGGAGGATACCGTTCTATAACCGCCACCACAATCAAGATATCAAAGTTTCATCACCCCACAAAATTCCCTCATACCCCTTTGTAGAAAATTCTCGCCCACACCCAGCCACAGACAACCACTAATCTGCTTTCTGCCCCTATAGTTTTTTGCCTTTTTCAAAATATTGTGTAAATGAAATATCGCCTTTTATGTCTGGCTTCTTTCATTCACGTGATACTTTTGAGACTCACCCAAGTTGTTGCATGTATCAGTAGCTTTGTTCCTTTTCATTTGAGTAGTATTCCATTGTTTAGAGATAACACAATTTGTTTATCAATTTACTAGTTGAGTTGATGTACTTCTGGGTTATTCATCCAACAGGGGTGGGATTTCTGGGTCCTATGCTAACTGTATGTTTAACTTTGTAAGAAATTGCCAAACCCCTTTCCCAAAGTAGCTATCATTTTGCATTATTGATCCAAATCCTCGTCAGCACTTGGTGCTGTCTGGTTTTTTGTTTGTTTGTTTCGTACTTTAATTTTAGCCACTGTAGAAGGCAGATAGTGGTATCTTGTTGTGTTTTAAATTTGCATTATCCCTAATAACTAACAATGTTAAGCTCTTTCATCTTTATTTCATTTCATAAAATACAGGACATTTTGGATGCTTTAAATCTCTAAAACTGTATTAGGTAGAAATAAACATGTTCATGCTGATAAGAATTAAATGTGTGCCTTCTCTCCACCCCATCATCTCCAAAGTGACTGCTTCCCCGCTTCCCATAAGAAAAGAAATGTCTGATTTTGTGTACTCTCTAGCAACCCAAGCTGTAGCCAATCTGCGTCATCCTCCCTGTGTAATTAGAGGCTGGAGGTGCCCACGTGTCTCATTTTAGGATCCTGTGGGCTACATTTGGCCCAGATTAGGTTATACTTTAGGCATTTCACTGCATATCTCTTCTTTTTCCTCTCAATGTTCCATTTCTCAGAATGTTTGTTCTTCAGAGAACAAATAGATCTGGGCTGGCATGAAAAGTCTCATTCTCTGAGGACAGTGGGGTGAAAGGGACCTCTGTCAGGCACGATCTCAAAAGCAGAAAAGAAAAGAACTCAAAATCCACCAGCCCTCAATGGCACAGAGTCTTGGACTCAAACCCAGCAAGAGTGCACTGCTTCACTTACTAAAATCGTCTGTCCACAAAAATCCTGTTTATTTCACAAGTGGGCACTGGCCCTGCCCACGTAGTCCACGTTTTCCTCTCCCTTCTTCTCACACAGAACCTATCACCACCACCACTTTTCCTTGCTTCCTAGTTATAGTTGCCAGATAAAATGCAGGATGTCCAGTTAAAATTGAATTTAACATCAACAATAATTTTTTTTTGGTATAAGTACACCTTGTACAATATTTGGAGGCTACCTCCACTGCCAGTGTAGAGGGAGCTAGTTTATTTTTATTAAGGAAGTCATGCACTTATTTGGTGAAAGAGACAAGAACCTGTTTGACTTCTTTTGGATCTATGCGTGGTTGTTTTCAGAGGCAACTGCTTACTTTCCCCACTGAAGCATCGGTCATGAGACTTCAGAAGCATGAAGAAACAGAGCTAGATGACAGTGACCTACCTTTCAGGAACAATCCCTATAAAAAAAAACAATGAAAAAAGCAAAGCTCTTTCTGGGCTGGCTCTGTATAACCATATGAAAAACTGACTACCAGCCAGGTGCAGTGGCTCAAGCCTGTAATCCCAGCACTTTGGTAGGCCGAGGCGGGTGAATCACCTGAAGTCAGGAGTTCGAGACC
Source organism: Homo sapiens (assembly GCF_000001405.40). Taxonomy (NCBI): domain Eukaryota; kingdom Metazoa; phylum Chordata; class Mammalia; order Primates; family Hominidae; genus Homo; species Homo sapiens. The sequence continues at coordinate 125,395,534 of NC_000003.12, forward strand.
AGCCTGACCAACGTGGTGAAACCCTGTCTCTAATACAAATACAAAATTAGCTGGGTGTGGTGGCACACACCTGTAATCCCAGCTACTCGGGAGGCTGAGGCAGGAGAATTGCTTGAACCCAGGAGGCAGAGGTTGCAGTGAGCTGAGATTGTGCCACTGCACTCCAGCCTGGCGACAGAGCACTACTCCGTCTCAAAAATAAATAAATAAAATAAAAATAAATTAAAGGGCCACTTCAGCTCATTTCTGCCCAGCGCTTTGGGAGGCTAAGATGGGAGGATAGCTTGAGGCCAGGAGTTCGAAACCAGCCTGGGCAACATAGCAAGACCACACCCACCCACCCCCACCCCCGGGTCATCTCTACGAAAATTAAATTAAATTAAAATTTAAAAACTCATTTCTGGAGTCAATTTGATATAAATTCATTCATTTAATTTCAATAGTTTTGGGTTGCTGCACTGTATACCAAACCTGCTAAGGTTCACTTCCCCTACAGGTACGGGCAACAAGCAAATTGGAACCCTCTGGCCCCACATGTAAGTTTTAGAGGAAAAAAAAATGCAAAATATAAGTAAATGTAAACAGAACAAACATTACTTTTTAATAGAAGAGAAAAAATTTATTTAATGCCTCCTATGTGCCACGTTTCCTGTGTGCATTATCTACGTGTATCTAATTTTTGCTAACATATTTGTGAGTTGTGTGTTATGAGACTCTGAGTACAATAATTTGCCCAATACTAGTGGGTAGCTTGGACTTGAATTAAGGTCAGTCTGATTCTGAAACCTAAGGTCTCCCTCCTAATCTATACAAGTCCGATAACACCATCATCCAGGAGAAGGAAAGAAACGCTTCCCAGTAAAAATGCTCAGTGGCGTGTGGAAATTATCTCGAGTCAGCCCCACAGTCCAAGGCCTGCGAATCCACCAACCAAGCAGAACCCATCTGGACAGCTCTGACAGTGATGCAAAGGAGAGGTTTGAGGTGCCATGGCCATGGATTGTTTGAGGCAGCAGTGGGGCTTGAGTGAAGGGTCAGGACTAGAGATGGGTAATCGTCTCCTTCCAATATCACCATCGTCTCTGGAAATGATCTGAAATACAGAGTAGACATGAGAAGCAACTACAAACACTGAGGCATCCAAAAGTCATTGAAACAGAGGGGAGGAAAAGCATCTTGTAATTGCCAGAGGCCAGAGCAGCGAAGAGATCAGGAATCAGGCAGGCTGAGAAATCCAATCTCATTTCTAGCCGCCAAAGCACCATGACATGACTGTGCCTCCAAGGTAACGTCTGGGCCAGCCACGTTCAGGGACTGGGACCTGCGTCCTCAGGTGTGAACACCAACAACAGCAAGAGCTAACACTTTACATAGAACTTTCCAGGTGCCAGGCTCTGTTCTGAAAACTGTATATCCATTAACTAATTTACTCTTTACAACAGCCATTTGAGATTAGTACTCTTATTATCCTCCCTTTATAGATGAGAAAACTGGGACAAGGAGAGGTTAAGTAACTTGCCCAAGATCCCACAGTGGTTAGGTGGCAGAGCCGGGATTCAAGCAGGGCGGTCTGTGCTCTTTGCCATCAGGCCATACTGCTCTGGTCTTTGCACTGGTCCAGGAGTAGTGCTAATAAGTTCTGAAGAAAGGATTGAAATGATGAGTTGAGGCCAGGCACGGTGGTTCATGCCTGTAATCCCAGCACTTTGGGAGACCGAGGCGGGTGGATCACCTGAGGTCAGGAGTTCGAGACTAGCCTGGCCATCATGGCAAAACCCCATCTCTACTAAAAATACAAAAGATCAGCTGGGCGTGGTGGCACGCACACCTGTAATCCTAGCTTCTTGGGAGGCTGAGGCAGGAGAATCACTATAACCCAGGAGGTAGAGGTTGCAGTGAGCCAAGATCGCACCACTGCACTCCAGCCTGAGTGACAAAGTGAGACTCTGTCTCAAAAAAAAAAAAAAAAAAAAAAAAAGAAGAAGAAGAACAAATAATGAGTTGGGATCAGCTTACCAAAGAGGGCCATGGATAAAGGAGGGATGGCACTGGGGTAGCCACTGAAGGGAATCGGATTATGCAATATCAGGAGAGCAGCAGGAAGAGGAAGGGAATCCACAGTGTCCAGTGCTGCAGGGACAGGAGGGCCTAAGAAATGGTCATTGCAACAGGCAATCAGAAGCTTATGTTGAAGATATGGGTTACTCTATAATGATACAGATTTGGCTGCTGTAATAAAGACCAAAATAACAGTGTACAGTATATCTTCCTCACACAAGAGCCCAGCATAAATAGTTCGGGGATAATGTGGAAGTGCCACATTGATGGGGACCCATACTCCTTCTATCTTGTTGCTCTACTATCTTCAGCACATGAGGTTGCTATTTCAGGTCAAAAATGACTGTCCCTGACATCCTTCTACATTCTAGCCAGGGTGCAGGTGAAAAGCAAAAGTGAATAGCATGCCCCCTTTCTTTTCAGGGGACATCCCAGAAGTTACATACATGGTAACACTTAGCTGCAAGGAAAACTTGCAAATGCAATCTTTAACTGGGCAGTCTGGTATGCAGCTAAAAATAATGGGTTCTATTTCTAAAAGAAGATGACAGATGTTGGGACATAACTCTCTGTCACGAAGGTCATTGGTCACCTTTGGAATTACAGTTTTGTGTGAACCTATAAAGTTTGCAGGGAGATGATGGAGTGAATAAGGGGGAAGAAGTACCATCTGAGGAGGCTGGTGTTGCTGGAAATAGAGAAACTCAGGATAGTTTGAGAAGTAACAGAATAGAGAGTTAGTTTGTACAAGAGAAACAGGGAAGCAGGTTTGTTTGTGGAGAGCAGGAAAAAATAAGAGGTGATGCTGGAGAGGTGAGGACAGTCGATGGGGCAAGGCTTCAAGGATATTGGGTGAGAAGGGATTGAGGTTCAGTTGGAGAAATTAGCCTTGGGCACTTCTTTTTTTTCTTTGGGACAGGGTCTTGCTCTGTCACTCATGCTGGGGTGCAGTGGCACGTTCATGGCTCACTGCAGACTCAAACCCCTAGGCTCAAGGCATCCTCCTGCCTCAACCTCCAAAAAGTAGCCAGGACTACAGGCGTGTGCCACAATGCCCAGCTAATTTTTTCATTTTTTTGTAAAGACGGGGGTCTCACTATGTTGCACAGGCTGGTCTTGAACTGCCAGCCTCAAGTGATGCTCCTGCCTCAGCCTCCCAAAGTGCTGAGATTATAGGCATGAGCCACCATGCTTGGTCAGCCTTAGGCATTTCTTTCTTGAAACAAGAGAGAAGAAGGCAATGAGTAAAGATACAAAGACATTTTTATGTGAAAAGCAGGAAAGCTGGCCAGGTGCAGAGGTTGAGGCTGCAGTGAGCTATGATTGCACCACTGCACTCCAGTGTGGGTGACCTGTCTCAAAAAAAAAAAAAAAAAAAAAAAAGAGAGAGAGAGAGAGTAGGAAAGTTGAAGAAACCTGGATTCAGGTGTCCTCAATCCCTGCCATGTAGGTGAGATCATCTCCCTCCATAAACTGTGTTTCCAAATGTGAAGGCTGCTGAGAGCTTATGAAATCTAAGAATGAGGCTCCATCTGCCTCACTAGCATCTGATCGCCTGGGGGCACCCTGCCTCCCAGGAGGAGGTTAATGAATATGCAATATCTCCCTCCTACAGAGTTAGAACACCTGACAGAGCTGCCTCTAACCTGGGAAGCCAAAGAGACACTGTGGGCACAGAGTTGGCCCTCAATAAATATTTGTTATGTGAATGAATGCATGAATGAATGAACCAACACATTTCCTACTCCATGATTTTGGATAGTTGCACATGTTCAGAACATTAAAATTTCTCTTGAGCAGTACAATTTCCTGAAGGCTGACATTCATTTCAACTGATTCCATTTCCAAACCTGCTTCCTTCTTCTCTAAAACATGAGAATTATGTGTTCCCTGGAATTTCTGAGATGTGGATTTTACTAGGCAATGTCTGGATCTTCTGTTTTGAGTTGTCAGAGGAGCTTGTAGGGATCCACTCAAGCTAAATGTTGACTTCCTCCAGTTTAAAAAAAATAGCATCACTAATAGGTTGGTTTTTTTTTTCTCTAAAAGGAAAATATTCATTCATGGAAGTCCTTCGTGTGTATTTGTTTCCAACTGCCATAATGTCACATCATTTCAGATGCCAGGCAAGCCATGAGAGAACTCAAGAATCCAGATATTTCAGACCAAGAAAACAAAACAACCTCCCCTCACCTCCACTTCCAGCCCTCAGTTTTTGTAGTTGCTTCTCATGTCTGCTCTGCATTTCAGATCATTTCCAGAGAAGATGGTGACATTGGAAGGAGAAGATCAGATCAGCCATCAACCACCCACAAAATCAGGATTTTTTTTTTTTAGAGACAGCATTATCTCACTTTGTTGCCCAAGCTGGTCTTGAACTCCTGGCCTTAAGCCATCCTCCTGCCTTGGCCTTCCTAAGTGTTCAGATTATAGGCATGAGCTATCATGCCCAGCCAGGAAGTCTTTTATCATAGTCATTGTATGTGGTGATGTGCTGAGACTAGACAAACCAAATGACAAAGAGCTAGTGGCTGCTGCCACATAGGCACAAAGGCCCCCTCTCGTGAGAGAGTCCCCTCCCTGTGACAACTTGCAACCTTGACCCTCCCCTGAGCTTCTTGCTGAAAGAAGCCTATTCTGCTGGTCAGACACACAGAAATGATTTTCGAGCAAAATGATTACATCACTTCTAATTATGATTCTTATTTTCTGGCCTCAACATGAGGAAGTGATGTGCTTGCTTTTATCCTCACCTTCAGATGCCAGCTCTCCAAGTAGCCTTCACCTTCTGAAGGGCAAAGCTGCCTCTGGTCTGCTACCCTTGGAAATCTCTCTGAACTTGTCTCTTTCCAGACACGGTATTCTGCAGAGCGTTCTCTAAAGCCCTGACTCTATAACACAAGAAAAGAGCAGGTGTGCAAGGGAGCTGAGACAACTATCCCCTTCCTTCTCCAAGCGGGGCGGCTTTTGATGAATATATTTGGGTCACTACCTCTGCCTCTTTTCTATTCTCCTAAGAACACCGAGTTTCCCAATGTTCTGGGCAAGGAAACAGGGCACCACTTTTGGTCTCAATCCCACCCTGCCTTCCAGATTATTCCACTAACATCTGTCTGGAAACAACCCAGGGCCCCCATATCACTTATGTTTGACATGAGAGCCTCCAACTTCTCAGCCAGCATCCTCAAGTGGCCAGTGGGGCTCTTCCTGCCAGAGCACTAAAATTACAAGGTTGCATTTGTGTCCAATCCTTGGTTAAACATAATCAAATTGGTGCTAAAGCTTGTCTGTCCTTTTCTGACCACATGGTTATGGTCACGGGTGATTTGTGCCTCTGTGAGGTCTATCTTAGCCCATGCCAGGGTCCCCACGCTGACCTGGCCAGGGCCCAGATCCCTTTCTAATTACAGAGCAGCTAGCCTGGGTTCTTCTGTGTCTGAATCTTGTCCCAGCCCTTCTTGATGCATTTGATATTTCATACTCAGTGTTTGGTTCTGGGTATCATATTTAAGAAGGACATTGACAGATTTAGGAGAACACCCAGCTGGTGAGGAATCTGGAAACCATCTTATACCAAGAATGGTCAGAGAAACTGAGGACACAGGCTAGAGAAGAGAGAACTGGTGAGTGGACATGGCTAGACATGGTTGTTGTAGAAGCTCCAACTCTGGATTAGGGCAGAACAAGGACTGGTGAGATACATGTGTTGTTTTCAACTCAACAGAAGGGATACCTTTCTTTTACTAACCCAGCTACACTAAAGTAGTGCAGACTGTTCTAGGAAAATGGTAAGTGCCTCTTTACCTAAATTGTTCTAGCAGAGATTATCTGGCCCTCCAGCAGAGATGTTCCAGAAGGAATTCTTTTGTTGGTTAGGAGGCTGGCCTTCCAACTGCATAATTGCCTATTTCTATGAAGAAGACACAGAGAGGGTCTGGAATTTTTTGGTGACTATGATCCTGTTAAGCCTCGCTGCTTGCTTGGCTCTAGACATCAGTCAGCTTTCAACTATTATTATTATTATCCTTTGAAATTCTGACATGCTCTCCAGGAATTTAAAATATTCCCTTCTGCAGGGTGACATAGCCTGCCAGCTTTCAATTTCAAACTTCAAAGCTGCTTTGGACATGAAGGTTTGCTTTGACAATTTTAAAGATTTCTAGCCATAGGAAAAATGACTTGCACTTTGGAAATTTGTTTTTGAAATGTAGACCTATTGACCAATTTACTGGTTAGATTGAGAGTCCTCTCAACATGGACAAGCGCCTGTTTAACTTACCTTTGTTCTCTGAAATAAAAAGGCCTGCCTACAATCTAGAGCTGTCTGGAGCAGCGGTTCCCCACCCTGGATGCACATCAGCATCAAACAGCCTCCGAAAAAAATAAGGTAATTGCCCAGGCCTCACACTCATACGCACTGATTTAATTGGTCCGGGATTGGACTCCTGCATAATTTCTTTTTTTTTTTTTTTTTTTTTTTGAGACAGGGTCTCACTCTGTCACCCAGGCTGGAGTGCACTGGCGCAATCATGGCTCACTGTGGCCTTGACCTCCCAGGCTCAGGTGATCCTCCTACCTCAGCCTCCCAAGTAGCTGGGACTACAGGCGCATGCCACCATGCCAGGCTAATTTTTGTATTTTCAGTAGAGACGGGGTTCTACCATGTTGCCCAGGCTGGTCTCGAACTCCTGGACTAAAGCAATCCACCCACCTCAGCCTCCCAAAGTGCTGGGATTACAGGAGTGAGCCACCGCACCCGGCCATCAATAATTTTTTAAATGCCATGGGTCATTCCAATGTGGAGCCAGGGGTGAGAAACTGTTCTTGAGGAATTAAGAGTCGCAATAGTCAAATATGCCCCATGTTCCTCTCAGAAACTATTTCAGATCAAGCCAGTTTACTTGGTTTCTAGAGGATTCATAGTAATATCATATTCCAAAAGATCGTTCCGGAACAAACGGATGAATTCTTGATAACCTGTTGTTTTGATCCTCAGTGAACCTTGTGTCTCAGGTCTACTGGACCCAACTCTCACAGTGGGATGAGAGTGGGGTGGAGTTTGAGGGATGTTTTTACATCTCTAATGACAAAAGTAGGATTTTCTGCTCAAGCTAAAATCAACTGCAGGTGTTTTGAGTTTCCCTTGGATGCCCCTTGCCAAGACACAGTTTCCTTCTGCCTAGACAAAAACATCTTTCTCTGAAGCTTTCAAAGTCTCAGCCAAGAGGCAGCACTCCATTAGGGAGGCTTTTTGATATGCTGATTGCAGCTGCTTATATTCCAGAAGAGCTGTCAACCGGGAAAATCACACCCACATGACTATTGAAATATAACTGCCCGCAGGAACCCATGAGCCAGCAGATTCACCATTTTGCATGCTGCTAGACCCTTGTCACCCCCAACAAAAAAAAACCCATGAAGACAGAGGCCTCATGGATCTTGTTCATCTTTCTAATTTCAAAGCTCAGAAAAATGCCTGACACAAAGTGGATGCTCGATAAATGTATTCATTGGATGAATAAATGAGTAAATGAATGAAATGATACTCAGGGCCCAGATAGAACTCCAGTGACTATCAAGATCACTTAACAACTAACTAAAAGATTTATGTCCACATTCTGGTTTCCCCAGAGCTTCGAAGAAGAACTCAGATACCAGCGGAAGGCCTTGCAGACATCTTCACACATTGACCCTGGGAGGAACAAGGTGGCCAGAACAAAGACAAGTCAATCTATAAGAAGCCTTGGATCTCCTTCTAAGTTAGCAGCCTCTCTCATTGGCAGAGTCCTCTAACCTCCACTCCCTTCAGCCTGAGCATCATCAAAGTCCCCTTCTGCAGAGCTGCCTCCCAGAACCCAGGAATTCGCTGCTACTAACCATATTAATGTCCCTACTAACCAACTTCCCTCCAGGGAGAGCCCCTCTCTAATACATTTATTTTGCCCAGATTTCAAGGCCAAGCCCCATCTCCTTGCACAATTCCAGTTTTACCGGTCATATAGCACCCTGCTCTGCCCAGCTGGGTAAGGCATCATCAAGCCCCTCTTATCCTCAAAGAAGGCAGCTCGGCAAAAACATTCTATTGGTAACTCAAAAAATTAGAACGAGGCTTGTCCAGCCTTAGCAGTATTAGCAATCATCTGCTGGAGAAGCATACAAATTTGAGTTTAAAAAAAGCCAAGCAGCTGCATTCTCCCAATCCCCAGGGCCCTAGAACACACCCCATGAAGAGTAGAAATCCTTTCTAGAATATAGAATGTGGGCTTTCATGACAAGATTCTGCCTTGGTCCTCTTTCTCCTCAGCTGTCACATCACCCGCCTAGAGGGGCCTGGTTACAAAAGGGGAAGCTACACCCAGTGAATTGTAGCTCCCCCTGTAGCCTGGCACTAACTGTGTGACTGGGCAGAGCTGAGCAGTTCTCCCTGAGTCTCTGACTGGTACAATAAGGAATTTTTACTTTGAGGCTAAGTCAGCTTTCTGATGAAAGGAATTCACTACGGCTCAGTATAAGTATTGCCTGTGTCAGTGTGCACATGGAAAGATGAGATGCTAGGACCCAATAGTTAATGTGTTCAGTCTCTTATATTTATCACAATCTCTGCCCGAGATTCAAAATGAGGAATTAAATGCCGGAGACCTGAATGCTAGCCTCGTGGGTGGCTCTAGAAAAGTCCCATCCATGCATTAATTCAACTAGGAAGATTGTTTCCCTATGGATCACTCCTCTAGGGATATGCATCTTGATTGAAGAGGGAAATATTCAATCAGCTTGATTTCCAACAATAACCTGTGATTGTTAACTGCAAGTTAATGTTTTAAGAGGAACAGCATTCAAATTTCTAATCAAGGGGCCATTGTTATTGGTATGATTATTCCCTCCCTGCTTATCCCTAGCTCTGAAATCCACATCCTACATGGGGTGGAAAGTGATCACTTATTTAGGAAACTTCAATGTGTTCCACATTATCACAACCCCTGGGAAGTTCAATCCAATGGGATGATAGATTAGGGACTGAGAGGCAAGGCTGAGAGACAGACAGTACATTTAAAGTAGCATCTGGTTAGCAGCCGCCTGAGGCAGCTTTTCTCAACTTCCCCCTAGCAGACGCAGAGTATTGAAAACTCTAAGTCATTCAAATACTTAAAACATATTCATCTGACAAGTGCTGAGTAAACAGTTACTGCTTGCAAGGAACTTATGGTCCAGTCAGTAGACCAAATTCTGTATTAATTAAGTATTGCTACCTAACAAATTACCCCAAAACTTAGTGGCTTAAAACAACATACAGGCCGGACACAGTGGCTCACATCCATAATCTCAGCACTTTGAGAGGCCGAGGCGGGTGGATCACCTGAGGTCAGGAGTTCAAGACCAGCCTGACCAACATGGAGAAACCCCGTATCTACTAAAAAAACAAAAAGGTACAAAATTAGCCGGGCTTGGTGGTGCATGCCTGTAATCCCAGCTACTCGGAAGGCTGAGGCAGGAGAATCGCTTGAACCCAGGAGGCGGAGGTTTCAGTGAGCTGAGTTCGCGCCATTGCACTCCAGCCTGGGCAACAAGAGTGAAACTCCATCTAAAAACAACAACAACAACAACAACAACAAACATACATTTATTATCTCCGATTTCCAGGGGACAGGAATCCAGGTACAGAGCAGGTGAGTCTCCCAAATGAATTTCTCAAAAAGCTGTAGTCATCTCAAAACTCAACTAGGAAGGACACGTCTTCCTCCCTCACTCAGGTGGTTGTTGGTAAGATTCAGTTGTGCAAGGGTTGGGGTGAGTATCCCTTGTTTCTTGCAGTGTGGACTTCCCCATAGAAAGTACCACAACATGGCAGCTTCAACCTGCAGATGAGCAAGAACACTTCCAAACTTCCCACCCATCACCCATCACTGCTGCGATTCAGTGGGTATCTTAAATGTTTAGTAGCTACCCATTTGCATTTAGGCTTTCTTCTTGTTCCTTCCTGTATTCGTCTATTCTCACGCTGCTAATAAAGACATACCTGAAACTGGGTAATTTATAAAGAAATAGAGGTTTAATAGACTCACAGTTCTACATGGCTGGGGAGGCCTCACAATCATTGAGGAAGGTGAAGGAGGAGCAAAGGCATGTCTTACATGGCAGCAGGCAAGACAGTGTGTGCTCATGAACTATCCTTTATAAAACCATCAGATCTTGTGAGACTTATTCACTATCACAAGAACAGCATGGGAAAAACCTGCCCCCATGATTCAGTGACTTCCCACTGGGTCCCTCCCTCGACACGTGGGGATTACAGGAGCTACAATTCAAGATGAGATTTAGGTGGGGACACAGACAAACCATATCACTTCCTTCATCAATTTACCCATTCAATAAATATTTTGGGGCTCTCTCTACATGCCAAGCACTATTTTGGGTAGTGGGAATACAGCAGTGAACAAAACAAATTTCCTATTCTTAAGGACTTTACACTACAGTAGAGAAAAAAGATAATAAATAAATAAGAAATGTAGAGTATAGCAGAGGATAAGTGTTACAGAAAAAAATAAGGCAAGGTAAATGGGAGGGGAAGGGCTGAGAACTGTGTGTGTGTGTGTGTGTGTGTAGGTGTAAGTGTAGTTGTGGGCGATGGGAGGTTATAAGGTGACGTTTGAGCAGAGGAGTGAAGAAAATAGAGGTATTGGGGTGGGAGTGTTCTTGGCATGTTCAAGGAACAGCAGTAAAGTCAGTGAGCTGAGGAAAGTCAGTGAAGCAGAGAATAGCAAGGCACATGGTGACAGGGGTAGTTTGTTGAGGGCAATGGGGTTCACTGCACAATAAGTTGAAGGGCTTTGTAAATCATTTTAAGACTTTGAATTTTACTTTAAGATAGAGTAAAAATCTACATGGGCAGATTTGGAGAAGAGGAGCAACATAATCTGATGTAAGATCACATTTGTTGCTAGGTTTTTTTTTTTTTTTGGTTGTGGGAGGGTGGTTTTGGTGTTTTGGTTTTTTTTTAGAGATGAGATCTCCCTCTGTTACAGAGGCTGCAGTGCCATGGCATAGTCGTAGCTCACTGCAGCCTTGAACTCCTGACCTAAAGGGATTTTCAGCCCCTAAGTAGCTTGAGCCTCCTGAGTAGCTGGTACTACAGGCTCACACCACCATGCCCAGCTAATTTTTTACAGACAGGATCTCACTGTGTTCCAGGCTGGTCTCAAACTCCTGGTCTCAAGTGATTCTCGCACTTCAGCCTCCCAAATTGCTGGGATTAAAGGTGTGAACCACCACACCTGGGTTGCTAGGTTTGAGTGCCTGTCAGTGGAGGCAACAAAGAAAGCCCAGGAGACCACTTGAAAACTGTTGTTTTGTGTGTGGGTTTTTTTGTTTGTTTGAGACAGGGTCTTACTCTGTCACCCAGGCTGGAGTGCAGCAGCACAATCACAGCTCACTGCAGCCTCAACCTCCTGGACTCGAGTGATCCTCCCACCTTAGCTTCCTGAGTAGCTAGGACCACAAGTGCATGCCACCATGCCTGGCTCATTTTTTTTTTTTTCAGAGATGGGATCTCACCAAGTTGTCCAAACTTAGTTGAAAACTATTGAAAAAATTCAAGGCCAACGCCAAGCACGGTAGTTCAAGCCTGTAATCCCAGCACTTTGGGATGCCAAGGCAGGCATATTGCATTAGCTCAGGAGTTCACGACCAGCCTGGGCAACATGGCAAGACCCTGCCTCTACAAAAAATTTAAAAATTAGCCAGGCATGGGAGCGTACACCTGTGGTCCCAGCTACTCAGGAGGCTAAGGCAGAAGGATTGATTGAGCCCAGGAGGCTGAGGCTGCAGCGAGCTGTGTTCCTACCATTGCACTCCAGTCTGGGCGACAGAGCATTTATAGGAAAAAGAAACACTCAGGGAGGAGCAAGTTGGGGAATGTGCAGAAATTAGGAATTCCTTCAAATGTGTTAATTTGAGAGCCTATTAGAATCCCAAGTGGACATGTCAAGTAAGCAGTTAGATAAATGAGACCGCAGTTCATGGATTGAGTCTGGGCTAAAGATATAAATCTGGGACTCATCAGTTTAAATCTGGGACTCCTAGGATTAAACCCTGGGACACTCCAGCAGTGAAGAAGTGGCCAATAGGTAAGAGGAGAATCAAGAAAAAGTTGGCCTGGCATGGTGGCTTATGCCTGTAATCCCAGCACTTTGGGAGGCCAAGACGGGAGGATCCCTTGAGCCCAGGAGTTTGAGACCAGCCTGAACAGCATAGTGAGACTCGGTCTCTACAAAAAAATACTACTAATGAAAACAGAAAAAATGGTGCCAGGAAAACAAGTGGAGAAAGTATTCCAAGGTATTGCATCTTCCTTTAGTTTATCTAAGTGTTATTCAAATGCTAATGTATGTAAGAATCACTCTACAAGGTAAATACATAATATCTTAATTACTTCTTTCATGGGAAATATAAAGGATTTTCAAGGCAATTGAAGCGCTGAATGAAGAACGAAACTGTGGTCAAATGGGAACCGAACCCACTGAGGACATGGAATGTAAGCAGGATTCCATAGTACTAAAGGGACAGAAGCAGTGTTTCATCGGGAGTCAGGTGTTAAGGGTTTACTGTATTTTTTTTTATAAATTCAATTTTTAAAACTTTTTATTATAGAGAACATCAGGGATACAAAATGAGCAGAATAGTATAATGATCCTCTATGCTGTCATCACCCCATTCAACAATTATCAACTCATGGCCAATCTGATTTCTTTTAAATCCAGTTAGTACTCCTCATTCAATTTGAAACATACTGCAAACATTGTACCATTTATTTCATCTGTAAATAGTTTTGCAGTTATCTTTAAAATTTTTTTTACATTATACAATACCTTTATCACCCTAATAGTTAACATAATTTCTTTTTTTTTCTATTTTATTTTATTTTTTATAGAGACAGGGTCTTGCCATGTTGCCCAGGCTGGTCTCAAACTTCTCAGCTCAGGCGATCCACCGGCCTCAGCCTCCCGAAGTGCTGAGGTTACAGGTGTGAGCCACTGCACCCAGCCACATTTCTTAATATTATTAAAAACAAACAAACAAACAAACAAACAAACAAAAAACCACGAGCTAGCACTAGGTTAATTTTTTAAAAAAAGAAAAAAAATCCAGTCAGTGCTCAAATTTTTCACTCATTTAATAACTATACTTTTTAATCACTTGAATCAGAATCTAAATAAGTTTCATACATTGAGAATCTTTTTTTTTTTAAAGAGTCTCGCTCTGTTGCCCAGGCTGGAGTGTGCTGCACGATCTCCGCTCACTGCAGCCCCAATATCCCAGGCTCAGGAGATCCTCTGACCTCGGACTCCTGGGTAGCTGGGACCACAAGTGTGCATCACCACACCTGGCTAATTTTTTGTATTTTTGTAGAGATGGAGTTTCACCATATTGCCCAGGCTGGTCTCGAACTCCTGGGCTCAAGTGATCTGACTGCCTTGGCCTTCCAAAGTGCTGGGATTACAGGTGCGAGCCACTGTGCCTGAGAATCTTTTAAGTCTCTATACATTCCCCTTCTACCATTTCTCTCATATATATAGAGAGAGTTCTTTTTTCTCCTGGCAAATTATTTGTTAAAGAGAGCAAGTTGTTTGTCCTGTAGAGTTTCCCACAGTCTGGATTTTGATGACTGCATACTCATATTGCTAGTGGTGAAATGTTTAACGTGTTCCTCTACCTCTGAATTTCCTGTAAAATGGGAGTGGAATCGAGGGGCTTGATCAGGTTTGTCAGATATTTTTGGCAAGACTACTTTATAGGTGCTGCTGTTTTCTTCCACCAGGAGTCCCTTAATGTCTAGTTATGTCTCTTTTTCGTGATGATGGTAGCTGTTCATGATCAAAGCCTAGATTCATTATACATTAGGGGTTGCAAAACGGTTCTAACGCTATCCTTCCTTCTTCATTTATCACCTGTAATACTTCTATAAGGAGAAATTTCCCCACAATCTGTATATGGCTTCTCAGTGATAAAGTTCTCATAGGAAAGGCAATGTAAACACTTGCTTTCTTACCTTTATCTATCAATTTTCAAAATAATGAGTTGGCCTCTAACATGTTCTCACAGAACCTGACTAGGGCTTTTGTTTTGGGAAGGGAATAATGATGAATGCATAGACTTAATTATTTTATGTTTCAATCCATTGCAATTATCTCACTGACACTCAAATTATCTGTCATTGGCCAGTGGAAGCCCTTCAAGTTGGTTCCTGCGTCATTTTGATGAATAATCCTCACTATCTGGTATTCAAAGACATTCAGGTTTATCTTGTGTATTTCCTACCCAGACCTGGAATCAGCCATTTCCCCTAGAAGCCCTGATTCCTTTTAATGGAAAAGGAGTTGAAGTCGTTATGCACGATATGGGGTCACAGAATCAAAGAGCCAGGCAGTAGGTGTCAAAGGAGATGCCACCTCTGCGAGCAAAGCTGTATTAGAGTCCTCTAGAACTCAGAGTTTGACTGGGAACCATTTACACCAACCTCCTCTCAAGCTGTCGATCTAAGAAAAGGATGCTATTATCTCCCAAGCAGAGAGTGAGGGGCCAAGCTGGACAATTTTGTTTCATTCATGCCAAGTAAGTAAAAAGAGAAAAAAAATTGAGCCCACGACAAAATGCTACTGAATAGGAGAAAGGACAAATCCCTTCCTCCTTGAAGAGCAAGAGGAAGGGGATAATTCCTGAAAATGCAGACTACTGCAGGATACAAGAAAATGTTGGAAAATTGTTTGACATCTTCAACAGAATGGAAGAAGAGATGTCTTTCATAAAACATGAGCAGTCAGCCATATGAAGAAAACAAGCAGAGAAGAAAAAGAACAAAATAAATCGAACAGTAGTAGATGGATAAGATGAAGAATTCTAAGGGATATTCAAAACACAAGAGCAAAAATAGAGCGAAATTATACATATACATTTTTATATACAATACTGTTGTTTTCTCCCAGCAATAGATGAGAAACGTCTTTCTACACGTCATTAACTATCTGTTTTCATGATATTGCTATGACTGGACTGCATGGACAATTCAACATATGAAGGATCACTCTTCACTTACCATATACACCCTCTTGTTAGAAAGTTAAGCATTTTCCAGACTTTTTTCTTTTTTGCCATTATGAGCAATGTGAAAAGGGTGCATCCTTGTGCATGTGCCCATGAATTCAATAACTTTTTTTTCTTTTTTTTTTTTTTTTTTTTTGAGACAGAGTCTCACTCTGTCACCCAGGCTGGAGTGCAGTGGTGCAATCATGACCCACTGCAGCCTTCCCCTCCCAGGCTTAAGCAATCCTCCCACTTCAGCCTCCCAAGTAGTTGAGACTATAGGCACGTGCACCTGTATGGCTTTTTGGTTTTTTTTGTTTTGGTAGAGAGGGGCTTTTGCCATGTTTCCCTCGAACTCCTGGCTGGGCTCAAGCCGTCCGCACAACTTGGCCTCCCGAAGTGCTGGGACTACACCCATGAGCCACCGTGCCCAGCCCAAATTCAATAACTGTTTATTGAGCACTTAATGATTACCAGGCACAGCACTAGGTGCCAAGGTACATGGTGATGAAAAAGATGGACACAGTTCCCATCTATATGGCCCTTGTGGTCTAACAGGGAAAGACAATTAAGTATGAAATTTCAATACTTTTGTGATGGGTGGTAGAGAAAAGAAATACAGGTGATAAGGAAGCACATGGCCAGGAAACCTAACCTAAGAAAGTGACATTTAATCTGAGACCTGAAATGAGAGGAGTTAAGCTAAGAAAAGAAAAAGCAGAACAATATTTTAAGGAGGGAGAACAGCATGTTCAAAGACCTGAATGTGAGAGAGAGCAAGGCACACTCAAGATGAAAGAAATTCAGTGGCAGCTCAGAAAGGGCCTTGCCACTGAAGGATTTTCAGCATGGGAGGGTCATGGTCAAGTTTTTTTGTGATAGATCTCTGGAGCACAATGGACGTTGGATTATAGCCTAGCATAATTAAAGGTAGGGAGACCATTAGGAAGTGAGTCAATAGCCCAGGCGTGGAAGGGTGGTGGGCAAGAAGAGGGTATTGGCAATGAGAATGTAAAGAAGCAAATAGACTAGAAAAATATATTTAGGAGAGGCTGATTCATTTGACGTGGGTGGCAGGGGAGAGGGGAGTCAAAGCTGGCTCTCTGGTGTCTGACTTTAGAAAACCAGGTGGTGCCATTTACTAGTAACGGCAGAAACATATAGAAGAAATTATGAGTTCAGCTGGGTAATGCTGAGTTTGAGGTTCCTACAAAACTCCTAAATGAAAATATCCATTATGCATTTGGCTATACAGATCTGGAGCCCAGGAAAGAGGTCTGGGCTGGAATTCTAGACTTGGGATACATCAGTATATGGGTTATAATGCAAACTTTGAGAATGGTTGAGAGCTTCCAGAAAGCATATATACAGGGAGACAGAAAAGCACCTAGGAGAGAACCCTGAGGAGCAGCACTAACATTTAAGGGATGGGCAAAGGAAAAAGACTTTTAAAAGACTCTCCAAGTCTAGATGAATAAATTGCTTCTTTCCAATTGCTGCTTTTCCAGAGAAAAGAATTCCAGAGAGCATGCAACTTTAAGAAGCCAGTAAGGCTGAGTACAGTGGTTCATACCTATAATCCCAGCACTTTGGGAGACCGAGGCAGGCCAATTACTTGAGACCAGGAGTTGGAGACCAGCCTGGCCAACATGGTGAAACCCCATCTCTACTAAAAATACAAAAATTAGCCAGGTGTGGTGCCTGTAGTCCCAGCTACTTGGGAGGCTGAGGCAGGAGAATCACTTGAACCCGGGAGGCAGAGGTTGCAGTGAGTCAAGATTACGCCACTGCACTCTAGCCTGGGTGACAAAACAACACTCCATCTCAAAAAAAAAAAAAAAGAAGAAGAAGAAGCCAGGAGAATGGCTTGCGTTAAGAGGAAAGGTGTGGCTAATAGCATCAAATATTTTCCAAGAGGTTAAGAAAGACAAGGGCTGAAAAGATTCCACTAGATTTAGTGACCACCTAAATGACCTTGGTCACCATGATAAAAGCAGTGAGTGGCCGTGGTAAACTGGGTGTGGTGACCAGATATTATGGTAAATAATTAGGGGGTTTTGTTTGTATTTTTTAGACACAAGGTCTCACTCTATTGCCCAGGATGGAGCAATGACATGATCATAGCTCATCACAGCCTCAAACGCCTGGGCTCAAGGGATCCTCCTGCCTCAGCCTCCTGAGAGCTGGGTCTACAGCCATGCACCACCACACCTGGCTATTTGTTTTACTATTTTCTTTTGATTTTTGTAGAGACAGGTTCTTGCTACGGTGCCAGGGAGGGCTGGTCTCGAACTCATGGGCTCAAGTGGTCCGCCCCAAGCTTCCCAAAGTGCTGGGATTACAGATGTGCCCAACTGCACCTAGCCATAAAGAGTGAGTTAACTGAAGGTGAGAAAGCATTCAGTCTCATTTGACTTTTGACCCAGTTTGAGAATCATTGTCTTTTACTAGGCAAGTTTAACTCATCTACATTTATATTCATAATGGTTTTATTTGGGTTTGCTTCTTTCATTTTCTTTTATGCTTTCTAGTTTTTATATTCCCTTGCTCTTTCTTTTCTATTCTACGTTTTGCTGAGTAGATTCTTATATTTACCATTAGCTCCTGAGGTGAATTCGAGGGTAGACAGTCTGCTTTTAAATCTACTCAGTAGTGGAACCAGAATTTGCATCCAGGCAGTCCAGAGTCCACAGATTCTAGCTACTGTGCTACGCTGCCTTTCTTGCAACTCACAGCATCATAACAGACATGGAAAATTAATTTGTCCTTGGAAATAGTCACACCACATGGGCAATAATTTCACTTCCAGAAATATATCTTAAAGAGCCAATCAGAAAATTATGCACATAGGTACTCACTGCAGCATTAAAAAAGTTTTTTTCCACTCTGTCACCCAGGCTGGAGTTCAGTGACACAATCACAGCTCATTGCAGCCTCAACATCCTCAGCTCAAGCAATCCTCCTGCCTCAGCCTCCCAAGCAGCTGGGACTGCAGGTGGCTCGAGCCACCACGTTCACCTCAATTTTTTATTTTTTGTAAAGATGGTGGTCTCACTATGTTGCCCAGGCTGGTCTCGAACTCCTGGGCTCAAGTGATCCTCCCAACTCAGCCTCCCAAAGTGCTTGGATTAGGGTGTGAACCTCCTCCAGCCGGCATTTTTTAAAAATAGTAAAACAATGTAAATTTGCATAGATTTTCCTTTCTTAAAAAATACTGGCCGGGCGCAGTGGCTCACACCTGTAATCCCAGCACTTTGGGAGGTCGAGGTGGGTGGATCATCTGAGGTTAGGAGTTCGAGACCAGCCTGGCCAACATGGTGACACCCTGTCTCTACTAAAAATACAAAAAAAAAAAAAAATTAGCTGGGCGTGGTGGTGGGCACCTGAAATCCCAGCTACTCCAGAGGCTGAGGCAGGAGAATCGCTCGAACCCAGGAGACAGAAGTTGCAGTGAGCCAAGATCGTGCCATTGGATCGCAGCCTGGGCAACAAGAGTGAAATTCCATCTCAAATAAATAAATGAATTAATAAATTAATACATAAATAAATCAGCTGTTTCTCTTTAATGCTTGACTTGTCTTAGAGTCTGTGTTAATAGTTTTTTGCCTTGTTTGTGAATTTTGGTTGTAAATTGGTCATGGTCATTTAAAAGTTGATTGAAAAAATATATATGTTAAAATGTGTGCCCTGCTTGCTTCCTGGGCTGGCTATTTACAGCCCAGAACAGGACATGACATACAGGAGTGGGAAAGCAGAGTCCATCTGAAGGTGACAGAAGAAGCAGGCATTTTCCAGCACCAGGACCAAACATATTAAAAGACTAAGAGATTTGCTTCTAAGATGTCTGGCAATGAAGCACAAAGAAACACAGTAAGTTACATAATTTTTATTGTCCAATATGACAAAGAAATTCTAATTCTTCTGCGGGAGTAGTTTTATCTGGGATCTAAAAGTCAAGCAGGAATTTATTCTGTGTATCCTCCTGGAAAGGGTATTGAGGGACGCTAAAGACTCTCTTTAAACAATTGATAAAGAAATCCCATTAAACCCATTCGTGTGGATGGCCTCTATGAACTTGCCATCCAAGCTCACAGTGAGGCATCAGCTCCTAACCAGGGGAAGGCGTTTATGCCTCGCAGCTGAACGGGGGTTCGGGTGCGGTCTTCTGGTTCATCTGCAGAGCTCTGCCTCCAGCAAGGCCCTTCACATCCCGTGCTTCTCCAGCTTTGCACAAAAGCACCCTCACGTGAACACCAGCTGGGGGTGGGTGAGAAGAGGTTGTAGCCCAAAAAGGCCAGCTGTAAGCTAAAAATTTCTTTGAAAATTTGCAATTTATATTTAAAATTCATGTGAATTTTACAGTCTGTTTCATAATGTGTTTATAGATAAAAATGTGTTTTCCCCCTTAAAACTTCTAAAAAATTGGTGCTCCGGGTGGATGGGCTGTATTTACCCTATTTGAGTATCTCTCGGCAAGCTACCCTGGACCTCCCCACCTAATCCCCACCCTTCACAGACATACCATGATTTTAATTTGATGTTGAGCCAGACTCTCCAAGTCTAGATGAGTAAATTGCTTCTTTCCAATGTTATACGTCCTGGAATAGAAAGAACATCATATATTCTTCTAACATATAGAGAAGAGGGTCTACGTAAGCTTTGGTTGACAGGTGTTTTTGAAATTGCCTTGCGAACATTTGTGAGTAGGACTTCCTGTACAGACAGGGGTGACCACATTAGGCAAGAGCTAAAGGATCTTTTAAGCTCTAGGGCTCATGATTGGTCATGACCTACCTAAAGTCCCAGGGAGAGCATGTCTGGGTGGCAGGCACTTGGCAGGGCTGACCTCACTACAATCACAGGGCTCTAAATGAGAGGTTTGAAACCCCCCATTTGCCACAAGTTCCCTGAGAGAGCAAGCATCTCTAGGAACTTCTGCACATTGAATCATTTATCCTGGAAACTCAGTCCCTATTCAGTTGGCCCTTTCTCTGGCTAGGACTTTTGGCTTTCAAAAGTCCAGGGTGGGTTAAGGCAGCTCTAAATGGCAGAGGGCTGGTGTGCAACTCCTCTGGCTAGATTTAGGGCTGGGCCAGGCTGTCCATAGGTGTTTAAGGTTGGATGGAAGGCACAAGATCATTTGGGGAAAGATGTATTCTCCCGAAATTGGAGGTCACATCCTTCATGAGCAAGACTTGTAGAGTGCTGTCCGTGGGTGTGATGAAAGGGGGCTCATTAAGAATAACAAAGGGACCAGACTCAGTGGCTCATGCCTATAATCCCAGCGCTTTTGGAGGCCAAGGTGGGAGGGTCCCTTGAGCTCAGGAGGTCGAGACCAGCCTGGACAACATAGAGAAACCCCATCTCTTCAAAAATACAAAAATTAACCAGGCATGGTGGTGTGTGCCTGTAGTTCCAGCTACTTGAGAGACCAAGGCAGAGGGATTGCTCTAGCCCAGGAGGTCGAGGCCGCAGTGAGCCATGTTCGTTTGTGCCACTGCACTCCAGCCTGGGCAACAGAGCAAGACTCTGTCTCAAAAAAAAAAAAAAAAAAAAAAAAAAAGAAGAACAAAGGAAAAAGAAAAGAAATAAAGAATAACAAAAGACACTCCTGTTAGGAAACTCCAAGGGTTTTAGGTGTTCTGTGACAGGAATCTAGGCAAAGACCAAGGATACTCTATATTATACCACAGAACCCCCATCCAGAAATCCTTGGGGGTGGGAACAGGGGCAGCCCAACCTGTGGGACTTCCCTGAAGTGACGTCATTCCCGGACTAATACCCTGGTAAGAGGAGATCCTTCACCTAAGGACCTGGATCATTAAATGAGGCCCTCAGCAAGTTGCAGTGGGGAATCCACTTCCTTCTACTGGCCTCATTGTCCCAACTTTCGACTGCCTTAGTAGAGGGAGTCAAGGTGGTGTCAGCCTGTGGATTTTGGAGGTACAGAAGAGAGAGAGGGACCTCTGGAGAGAGTCACAAAGCAAGCCCTGCCTTGTGAGCCAGATTTTCCTTTTTTTTTTTTTTTTTTTTTGAGACAGGTTCTTGCTCTGTTGCGCAGGCTGGGGTGCAGGGATGTGGCCATGGCTCACTGCAGCCTTGATCCTCTGGGCTCAAGTGATCCTCCCGCCTCAGCCTCCCAAGTAGCTGGGACACCAGGTGTGTGCCACCGCACCTGGCTAATTTTTTTAATTTTTGGTAGATGGGGTCTCACTATGTTGCCCAAGCTGGTCTTTTAAACTTCTGGGCTCAAGCAATCTTCCCACCTCAGCCTCCTAAACTGCTGGGATTACAGGCGTGAGCCACAGTGCCCAGCCCAGACTGCCACTTTCGTATCACTGTGTTCTCTTCTCAGTTGCATGTCTTAAGCTTTTGTTAAAACCTTGTTTAAGTAGGGTAGCCTTGTCTCCACTATCTGGATGGTAAGAAAAAAGGTTACATATTCACCCTTGGGACAGAGGATCAAAGCAGGAAGCAGGTGTGGGAGCCTGGGGTTGGTGAAGAGAGACTCCTAGGGAGAGGATAAGGTTCCAGCTCCACGTTAGAGCCACATGTTCCAGCTGCCCCTTCCCCTCAAGAGATTCTGCTCTCATGCCAAGGAATAGATTCTGCTCTCATGGGTATTTTATTAACATATCTGGCATTTCCTTACTACCAACTACCCTCAATCTGCTTGACCCCATAACCACAGCTGTCAATACAGCAGCCAGGAATCCAGATCTTGGCCTGTGGGTGCAGCTGCCCACAGATGGAGGTGTGCAGTTATTTCAGACCTGAGACCCAGGCAGGCAGAAATGTAAGAGACCTCCAGGCCAGGGAGAGACTCCAGAGGGCTGGAGATCGTTTCTATCTGATGGACACAAGGCCCTCGGGGAAATTAAAATCCTTTCCACCTTGAATCCTGTCCCAGGATCTTGGTGAACTTTCTGGTGAGCCTCTCCGCCCTCAGCAAAGAAGGGTCAGAGGAACGAATGACCTGCATAATCCTAGGGTTTCATGGGTTTCACATTGTGGCCTTTGGGTCTCTGGGGTGGTGGCAGCATCCCAGCCGTGGGGGTGCAATGCGCTGTCCTGGGTCTACAGTTTGCAGTAGTACCATTCCTTGATCATATCTGTATGCTGAACAAGCATGGCTTGTGATGAAATAAAAAACTATTTCTTGCCTCCCATTACCTTTTTTTTTTTTTTTTGAGACAGAGTCTCACTCTGTCACCC
Organism: Homo sapiens; assembly: GCF_000001405.40. Lineage (NCBI taxonomy): Eukaryota > Metazoa > Chordata > Mammalia > Primates > Hominidae > Homo > Homo sapiens. The sequence continues at coordinate 125,417,881 of NC_000003.12, forward strand.
AGGCTGGAGTGCAGTGGTATAATCTCGACTCACTGCAACCTCCGCCTCCTGGGTTCAAGTGATTCTCCTGCCTTAGCCTACCGAGTAGCTGGGATTAGAGGCACATGCCACTGCACCTGGTTAATTTTTGTATTTCTAGTAGAGACAGCGTTTCACCATGTTGGCCAGGCTGGTCTTGAACTCCTGACCTCAAGTGCTCCGCCCACCTTGGCCTCCCAAAGTGCTGGGATCACAGGTGTGAGCCACCACGCCTGGTCTCCCACTACCCTTTTTAACGTGAGTCAGGGTGGGAAGTGTTTCTTCTGCTACAGAATGAAAGCTCAGCAGGCTCAGTTTCAGGTCATAGAGAGGCTTTCAGTCACTTTATATCAGAAGGACAGTCTCAATTCAATAGTTACATATAAATAACTCTTGAGTATTCATGTGAAGGAAAGGCTTCTCCCTCTCTTGCTGCAGACACTTGTAGTTGATGCTGCTGTCTCTGAGAAAGGGGTGACGATCACCTTCTTCCTCCAACCCAATCTCCTCCTCTCTCCCTTCCATAGCACTGTTTCCATCATCACCAGGGGAGGGAAAGGGCAGGAGATGAGGTAAGGGGCTGATCACATGCCACTTGGCCAGCTGGCTTTGCTCTCTCTGGGTTGGCAGAGAATTCAAACTGACTTTCTGTTTGGATGCTTTGTAGATTGTTCAGAGACTCCCGTCCCTGGGATCTTTCTTCCACAATTCCTTGGCCAGGGTGGTGCATCCATTTCTGAATGGTTTCTTGTGACATCTTTAATCCCAGCTTCTTGCTACGTGGGCCTCAAAGGTTCGCTCTTCAGCTTGATCTCACGTTATTGCCCAGGCTGGAGTGCAGTGGCGTGATTAATATCTCACTGCAGCCTAAAATTTTTGGGCTCAAGTGATTCTCACGCCTCAGCTTCCTGAGTAGCTGGGACTATAGGTGTGTGCCACAACATCCGGCTATTTTTTTTATTTTGAAGAGACAGAGTCTTGCGATGTTGCCAAGGCTGGTCTCAAATGCCTGGCCTCAAGCAATCCTCCCACCTCAGCCTCCCAAAGTGCTGGGATTATAGGTGTGAGCCACCGGACCTGGCCTTTGCCCACTTTTTGACCCATGAGAAACATTCACACTACCCTTTTGTTAAATCAAGTTTACCCTAAAGCTGCCTCCTTACATATTTTAAATTCAGCCTAAAGGTTTCTCTGTACATAGTGAACAATAACCTAAAGGAAGGTGTAAACAGAATGTATTCTACTCTTGTGCCAATCACCCAGTTTTGGCCATCAAAGGGGGCCAACTGTTCAAACTGTGTTCAAATAAGGCAAATGCCAAGCTGTAACCAATTGGGCCATTTCTGTACCTCAGTACAGAATGTCACTTTCCTTTTTTCTGTCCCAAAATCTTCTTCCACCACATCACTGCGATGGAGTCTCTCTGAGTCTAGCTCAAGAGGCTGCCCAATTCGCAAATTGCTCTTTGCTCAATTAAATCTGCTAAATTTAATTTGGCCAAGGATTTTCCTTTAACAGAGGGTGTCAGAAGTGGGATCTGATGTAGAGCTTCCAGCAACCCCTAGGAGCACTGAGTGACCAAGCGAGGTACCCCCTGGGCCCACTATGTCCATTGCTCTCTCTCACAGCAACTGGGGATCGTGGTAAGTTCTCCCTCAGATTCAGAAGCTCCATGAACTTGTGTTTTGAGCTCTCTGAGTCTGAGCAAATTTCTGATCCAAACTGGGTTTGGAAGTCATGACAGAAATTGGACTGGGTCTAGGATTGAATTGGATCTGGTCAATAACTGGCTTGGATCCAGTTAGAGGCCTTTTATAGACGTCTGACTGGGTCAGAAAGAAACTGGTAGTAAGTGGCAATATTGCATGTGGTGTAAACTTCAGCTTTTGGAAATTTGTGGGGATTTTTGTGTTCTACCCCCTATGTTTCTTTCTTCTTGCATGCTTAGGTAAGGAAAAATCATTGACAAAGTTGGTTGAGAGAATCTGAGAGCCAAAGCCAATATTTTAGGTAAAAATTGGATCCTTAATTTTTGAAGAATTGAGTACCTTCCAGCTTATACATGCATAAGTATTAGGCCCCGAAAGCAACAAAGGCTTAGGAAATGGTGAAATCTTAAGCTAAAGATAAGTTACAGTGGAACATTCCAAATAAACAAGGCTGGGCCAGGAGTGGTGGCTCAGGCCATAATCCCAGCACTTTTGGGAGGATAGCTTGAGTCGAGGAGTTCGAGACCAACCTGGGCAACATAGTGAGACCCCATCTCTCTAAAAAACAAAAAAGAAGAAACAAATGAACAACACTGCACTGGAAGAAGTGCATTTGAAAATGAGGCCTCCCAAAGTAGTCTCATCTAGGGGTGCCTACTGATATGCAGAAACTACTAAAGAGTTGGGGTTTTTTTTGTTTGTTTTGTTTTGTTTTGAGACAGAGTCTCTCGCTCTGTTGCCCAGGCTGGAGTACAATGGCACGATCTCGGCTCACCGCAACCTCTGCCTCCCAGGTTCAAGCAATTCTCATGCCTCAGCCTCCCGAATAGCTGTGATTACAGCTGCACGCCACCACACCCAGCTAATTTTTGTATTTTTAGTAGAGATGGGATTTCGCCATGTTGGCCAGGCTGGTCTCGAACTCCTGACCTCAAGTGATCTGCCCGCCTCGGCCTCCCAAAGTGCTGGGATTACAAGCATGAGCCACCTCGTCCAGCCGAAAAGCTTCTAAAGAGATTTTAATATTTGTATTTAAAGACTCTTTATAAAAAGCAAATACAAGCTTAAACAACTAGCTGATAAGAAAAATTAAATCTGCTAATCTGTTAGCTTAGTTACCATCCCACCCCAAAGGTGAAAAGAAAGCTAATCTAGATAAAATGTTTATAAGAGGCAAGGCTACTTTTTCAGATTTATTCACACTGAGTCCAGATATAGAGCATGCTTTTTTTGCCTTATACCTTAATGGGCTTCACCCTGAACTCAGTTAATTTTAGCTAATAAACAGTGGCTAAATTAAAAAGAACACTTATTGAACTAAAATCCACCTTTCTGGGCCGGGCGTGGTGGCTCACACCTGTAATCCCAGCACTTTGGGAGGCCGAGGCGAGTGGATCACATGAGGTTAGGAGTTCAAGACCAGCCTGGCCAACATGGTGAAACCCCAACTCTACTAAAAATAAGTAAATTAGCCAGTGTGGCAGCGCACACCTGTAATCCCAGCTACTCGGGTGGCTGAGGCATGAGAATCCCTTGAACCCAGGAGGTGGTGGCTGCAGTGAGCTGAGATGGTGTCACTGCACTCCAGCCTGGGTTACAAAGCGAGACTGTCTCAAAAAAATAAATAAAATAAAATAAAATAAAATACAGCTTTCTGGAATTTAATTGGCTATCATGAAACCCTTTTGTAAAAAAAAATTACATTTATTAAGGAAATCTCAATTTTTGAGGGTGTCTGCCTAGGTACATTAGAAACTCTTACCATTGTTTTAAGTTTACGTAATAAGTCATACCTTTGTGTAAGGTGCTTTTCTGGCCGTCTTGCCTGGATTGAACTTTTACATGAGCACTGTTTTTTCCCTTGGTTTAAGCAAATGATGATATAATATTTAGTCCTAAAATCTTAGCTCTGTGCTTATGAAATATAATTTTTTTGTTTTACCTAACAGTTGTCTCTTTAGAAATGCAAATTTATTGCCTGGTTAGTAATTCCTTAGGGCAATGAAACAGATAATTGGAAGATTGATAGTCTGAATGGGGAAAAGAAAAGCTATTTAAAAGCCAGCAAATAAAAAAAAGACAGCTTTATGACAGCTCTAAGACTGTTTCTATGTGTTTGTGTGTCTAGATGTGTTATGGACGTGTGATAATATTTGGTAAATATAGTTTTAAAATTGTTGGTAAAATAAAAATGGCTTCAAAATGATCAGTTAAATATTATTAGATGCTTGATTTGACTGTGAGCTTGTGTTTCTGGTCTAGAGCCTCTACGAGTCTGGATAGCGGGCCATTCTGAGGTCTGGAGGGGTGCTCTTAGTGCCTGGACCAGCAGCTACAAGTCAGAAGCAAGACCAGTATGCGCCTTCTTCCTTGCTTCCCCTGATTGCTTACCAGCTATTTTGGGAGAGGTTGGATCCCTTAGGTATAGTAGCCAAAAGTGATGCCTCATGCCTGTAATCTCAGCATTTTGGGAGACCAAGACAGGCAGATCACTTGAGGTCAGGAGTTCAAGACCAGCCTGGCCAACACAGTGAAACCCTGTCTCTACTAAAAAATACAAAAATTAGCCAGGGGTGGTGGCGGGCACCTGTAATCCCAGCTACTTGGGAGGCTGAGGCAGGAGAATCACTTGAACCCAGGAGGAGGAGGTTGCAGTGAGCAGAGATAGCACCGTTGCACTCCAGCCTGGGTGACAGAACAAGACTCTGTCTTAAAAAAAAAAAAAAAAAAAAAGGGCCGAACACAGTGGCTCACGCCTGTAATCCCTTAATCCCAGCTACTCAGGAGGCAGAGGCACAAAAATTGCTTGAACCTGGGAGGTGGATGTTGCAGTGACATTAAAATATTAAAATATGAATTATTATATGAATTATTAATATGATACAGAAAAGTGAAATATAAATTTAGATCTCTTAATAACAATTCAAAGAAGCATCTTTCTAAAAAATTATAAAATGGTTTTTCTCTACAAATACTGATATAAAACAGTTCAAAATTACTTTCTAGGGGCCAAGCACGGTGGCTCATGCCTATAATCCCAGCACTTTGGGGGGCCGAGGCGGGTGGATCACCTGAGGTCAGGAGTTTGAGACCAGTCTGACCAACATGGAGAAACCCTGTCTCTACTAAAAATGCAAAATTAGCTGGGCATGGTGGCGGACATCTGTAATCCCAGCTACTTGGGAGGCAGAGGCAGGAGAATCACACTCCAGCCTGGGAAACCAAAAAAAAAAAAAGGTTTCAAATTAAAGGAGTAAAAAATAGATAAAGCTAAATAAGTAAAGAAAGTTTGGAGGGCAATGTAAAATGTAAAACGTTTATAAAAATCTTGTATGGTTAAAAGATAATAGATTTGATCAATTTATTTGTAAGGTTATATTAAAATTAGCTTTAGTATTGATAGTTTACTAATACCAAAGTAAAATTTTGTTTTCTCTTTTGAACAAAAATGTCATGTAGTATTAATAAGACAATAAAATATTTTTGTTCATCCTTTGAGTAAACTGCAAAAAGAATAAAGAAAGAAGAGAAGAGACAGATTCTGTCTCATACAGTCTTTTTCAGGTCTTTTGATTGTTCAGAAAACTGAGTCTCCTGTATCTAAGACTACAGGTTTTGGGTTTTTTAAGAAATCTTTTAATTATCACTTTGGCTAAATAAATAACTATTATTTTACGGTGACCTGTGATGCTATTTTGGTCAAGTGTTTTAAACCTTTGACATATTTAATAGGCTTCCCAAAATCAAATATCAGCTTCAAAATTAAGTCTTTTTTGACCTCTAACTTTGGGATGCTACAGTTGGTTCCTGAAATATCCAAAAGAGAGAGAAACAGGATTATTTTCCATATTACATTACATGGGAAGCACTGTCAAATAAGAAATGATGTTTAAAAAAAGATGTTTAATCTTCTTCAAGTTATATTTAAATGAATATGCTATTAATATCTGTTCCAAAATTATATGGGATTTCTAAAATTCTAATATGTCTGGGTATATGCTATCAGTCATACTTATGGTCATCATGTTAAGTTTTTGTAGGCCACAGATATAACCAAATTTCCGTATCAATTGTGTCTTTAACTATGACCATTTAAAGTCATTTCCACAGTTAACTGCTTACTTCTGGTGCAGTTTTCCTGAAAACTTCAGAAGCATGCAAAATCCTAGACTACTGAGTCTTTTTTTTTTTTTTTTTTTTTTGAGGCAAGGTCTTGCTCTGTTGCCTAAGCTGGAATGCAGTGGCATGATCTTGGCTCACTGCAACCTCAGCCTCCCAAGTAGCTGGGAGTACAGGTGTGAGCCACCACACCTGGCTAATGTTGGTATTTTTTAGTAGAGATGGGATTTCACTATGTTGGCCAGGCTGGTCTCAAACTTCTGTCCTCAACTGATCCGCCTGCCTTGGCCACACAAAATGCTGGGATTACAGGCATGAACCACTGTGCCTGGCTGAGTATTGAGTCTTTAAGGAGGTTCATGAAAGGATGGAAAGGATTGTGAAAAGCACTCTTGAATACAGATTTCTGATAACTTTAGATCATATCATTTGGACTGAGTAAGAATTCCCAGAACTCTAATAAAGAGAGTGACTGGTTCATGAAGCTGCCAAACCAAGCAGGACAAAAACTAATTGAATACCAAGAAAATACTTTGCCAGATTTTCACACTAAATCAGAAATTATTTAGATATACAATTTGAATGAACTACATGGTCCAAGTCAAATTACCTATGATAACCCACCAGTTATCAGTGCTATGCACCTAAATTGGAAAAATAACTGGTAATTAAGAGGACCTAAGACCGGTGTTAAGTATGGACTCATGGAGACTCTGGATAGCTTCCTTGTCCTTCCTGAGTCCTTAAAGCTTTCGTTATTAAAATCTCTGCATTTTGTGACTCATCATGGAAGAGATAAAATGATCCAAATTAAATATAGATATTGGTGTGGTGACTGTTCCAAATTTCTAAAAAAAGGCTGGGCACAGTGGCTCACACCTGTAATCCCAACAATTTAGGAGGCCATAGTGGAACTATCACAGGCCCAGGACTTCGAGGCCAGCCTGGGCAACATAGTGAGACCCTGTCTCTATAAAATATAAAGAATAAATAAATTCCAGAAATAGCTTATAACCAATATTTGGTTTGGCAAACCCACATTCCTGGTGAGACAATCAAAACTTCAGATACATTTCTGCTATCTGATGGGCATTTAATCATTTATAGCGGGATTTCATTCAATTGCCATTTTCTTATTATTATTATTAACAGCATCTCTTACTCTGTCACCCAGGCTGGAGGGCAGTGGCACAATTTCAGCTTACTGCAACCTCCACCTCCCAGGTTCAAGCAATCCTTCTGCCTCAGCTTGCTGAGTAACTGAGACTACAAGTATGTGCCACCACGCCCAGCTAATTTTTTTTTTTTTTTTTTTTTTGTAGAGACAGGGTTTCACCATGTTGGCCAGGCTGGTCTCAAACTCCTGAGCTCAAGCAGTCTGCCTGCCTCAGCCCCCTAAAGTGCTAGGATTACAGGCATGAGCCACCATGCCCAGTCTGATTGTTATTTTCTTTGTTTTTCGAGATGGAATTTCACTCTGTGGTCCAGGCTGGAGTGCAGTGGCATGATCTCAGCTCACTGCAACCTCTGCCTCCCGGATTCAAGCAATTCTCCCACCTCAGCCTCCTGAGTAACTGGGATTACAGGCGTGTGCAGCCATGACTGGATAATTTTTGTATGTTTAGTAAAGATAGGATTTTACCATGTTGGCCAGGTTGGTCTCAAACTCCTGACCTCAGGTGATCCACCCGCCTCCCAAAGTGCTGGGATTACAGGTGTGAGCCACTGTTCCTGGCCTGATTGTCATTTTCAATGCATGTCTTCTGGTTATATTAAAGCTTTCCCATGCAAGAGGGCTGTTATAACAGCAGCTCATTATGCCAAAGTGTATTTTCACCAGGTAAAGAGAGCTTTTCATGGTCCTCTGACTAGGACAATCAACTTCTTCACAATATAGGACCTGAAGATGAGTTCAGGTTCTGAGAACATCAGAAACAAACCGCCCTTGCCATCTACACTGCAGCAAAACTTCAGGACCTTGAACCTTGGATTCATTATCTCACAACTCAGAAAGGCCCTTCTACACTCTTGGAACTGTACGCCCATTGGAAACCTTAAGGTAAAGCTTACCAGGGAAGTTTCTCCCCAGAAGAAGACAGCATCCTTGACTTGGACAGCTTTTCCCCAAGATCATGAATCAAGACTTCTCTGCTATCATGAGGCTCTTATCTGTCAATTTTTCCCTTTGCTTTGCATCTATGAACAACAAAAGTGAAAAGGTGGTCTATTGTATGCACTCATGGGGTATACTTTTATTTGTGAAGGATTTTGCAACCAGCTTTATACATGCACAATCTTATGCCTCGATAGATGGAAGATGAAGGCCCAAAGTAGAGAGAAATTTTAATGGTACATTTGTTGCCTCATCAGCAGTCAGAAACATAACATTGATCCACTCTTCCTAACCTACACCATGGGTTAAAGAGGACATTGCCAGGAGGTCTTTGTTTTTCTAGATGGGCATCATTTGTTAGGTCTCTTTTCCCCATGGTTTAGAGTAAATGAAGCAAAGATTAGAAATTTACCCTTCATGATAGGCTCTATAGCAGATTCTACTGGAAAGGCTATTGTATTAGTCCATTCTTGAATTGCTATAAAGAACTACCTAAGGCCGGGTGCGGTGGCTCACACCTGTAATCCCAGCACTTTGGGAGGCAGGGCGGATCACGAGGTCAGATCGAGACCATCCTAGCTAACATGGTGAAAGCCTGTCTCTACTAAAAATACAAAAAATTAGCTGGGTGTGGTGGCAGGCGCCTGTAGTCCCAGCTACCCAGGAGGCTGAGGCAGGAGAATGGCGTGAACCCAGGAGGCGGAGCTTGCAGTGAGCCAAGATTGCGCCACTGCACTCCAGCCTGGGCAACAGAGCGAAACTCTGTCTCAAAAAAAAAAAAAAAAAAAAAAAAAGAACTACCTGAGACTGGGTAATTTATAAAGAAAAGAGGTTTAATTGGCTCACAGTTCCACAGGCTGTACAGGAAATATGGCTAGGAGACTTCAGGAATCTTATGATCATGGTGAAAGGCGAAGAGGAAGGAGGCACATCTTACATGGCCAGAGCAGGAGGGAGAGAGAGAAGGGTGAGGTGTATGGCACATACACTTTTGCCATACACTTTTAAATAACCAGATGTCATGAGAACTCACTCTTTATGATGAAAACAGCAAGGGGGAAGTCTGCCCCCATGATCCAACCACCTCCCGCCAGGTCCCTCCTCCAACGTTGGGGATTACAATTTGAACATGATATTTAGACAGGGACACAAATCCAAACCGTATTAGCTATGGTTACACACCAGATTTTTTTTTTTTTTTTTTTTTTTTTTTGAGACAGACTCTCACTCTGTCACCCAGACTGGAGTGCAATGGTGTGATCTAAGCTCACTGTAACTTTTGCCTGCCCGGTTCAAACAATCCTTGTGCCTCAGCCTCCCGAGTAGCTGGGACTACAGGCACGTGCCACCATGCCTGGCTAATTTTTGTACTTTTCGTAGAGATGGGGTTTCACCATGTTGGCCAGGCTGATCTCAAACTCCTTGGCCTCAAGAGATCTGCCTGTCTTGGCCTCCCAAAGTGCTGGGATTACAGGCGTGAGCCACCATGTGGCCAGACTTTAAATTCTCTTGTGTGTACCCCCCGAACTTAAAAGTTAAAAAAATTATCTTGTGAAAGTTCTGCTAAATAATAGAATTGCTCCAGATTACCTACTAGCCAAACAGAGTAGCATCTGTGCCATTACTGGCATTTCTTGTTGCCCATGGAGAAATAAATCAGGTATTACAGAGATTTAGTTGTAGGGGATTAATGAACAGGCTGCTTGGTTAAAGTGAGTAGACTCTTTATCTAGCTCATTCTTTGATCTATTTGATTTTAATTGGTTTGGTTCATGGGAACATTGGCTAGGGAGCATACTCTAAACTCTTGGTATTATCCTCCTGACAAGAGCTGAAATAACTGTGTGACCATGAGGGCACTGTAACCTACGAATGACATGCTGAGACCAGAAACCCAGAATGACTGGTCACAGAGTGGCGCTAAGGCCCTAAGTTTTGGTCACACTCTCACCTAAGTGAGAACCTGACCAAAAGCAGGGAAATTTTAAACAAAATTATGGGAGGCCATTGTTTTGGACTAAGCTCATGCACTGGGCCCCATCAGACCAGATCAAACCAAAATGGAGTTATTCATGCTAAATGTGATATAATCAAACTAAGACTTTAAGGAAACATGATAGACCCTAGAACAGACCAGATTTTGTTTTTCTCCCATAAACAGGACATTCCAGCACAAGGAGGTATCCTCTACTCTAAGTCTTACAAAAAAGCCTGAAGTCCTTGTTCCCACCTTATAAAACCCACTGTTCTACTAATTCCCAGTAGGTTTCAAAACCAAGTAAGTACAGTTACAATAGTGATAGTGACATCAATGACTTAAGTTTTGGCCATCCTCTCCCAGTTGAAAGGATGACCAAAAGGGAAGATTTGTTCAATCAAGTTTAGCCTCAAATTGCCTCGTTACATATTTTAAGTTCAGCCTAAAGGTTTCTCTGGACATAGTGAACTATAATCTAAATGAAGGTGTAAGCAGACTGTATTCTACTCTTGTGCCAATCACCAAATTTTGACCAATCAAATCAAAGGGGGCCAACTGTTCAAACCATGTTCAAATAAGGCAAATGCCAAGCTGTAACCAATCCAGCTATTTCTGTACCTCGCATCTGTTTTCTGCATGTAACTTTCCTTTTTCTGTCCAGAAATCTTCTTCCACCGCGTGGTTGCACTGGAGTCTCTCTGAGCCTACTCTGGCTCAGGGGACTGCCTGATTCGTAAATCATTCTTTGCTCAATTACATTCTGTTAAATTTAATTTGGCTAAGGATTTTCTTTTAACACTTTGTTCCAATGAAATGAAATGAAATCTGAGACGATCCTAAGATACCAGCAAGCTTCTGGCTGTCCTACAAAGCTTAAGTCAGCTCATCTGTCTGTCATACTCTGGAGAAGGGAATCAGGCCCCAGGCTCCTGTGCACCCCCTCAACACCAGAGGCCTCCTGGTGTGATCGTGTGATCACTGTTTCCAAAGAGAGCCACCATCAGTTCTTCCCTCTGTTACATGCATGGCACCCAGCTATCCAGAAGTGGAGTCTATAACACCCCCCCTTGAATCTGAGCTAGACCGTGGCTGCTTAACCAACAGCGTGTGGTGGAAGTGAGTCTGCACCACTTCTAGCCTTTAAGAGTGTTGACCTAAAGGAAGAGGCTGATGCACAAAATATGATCTTTTATTTTATTTGAGCTAAGATGAGAACCTCGAAGACTCAGTCCCAAGAAACCGTGGAGCTGAGCTCTGTTCAACCTTTGTTACAAGCAGGCTTTTAAAGGCAAAAAAAGGTGACAAGGAGTGAGCTGATACAAAGCTGCTTGTCAGGAATTCTCATTGGTTTACAGAAATAAGATTGATTGGTGTTTGGACATACATTGTTGAGCCATAGAGTATGAGTGATGGTGTCCAGTGTGCCAAATTGTTAGATTAATTTATAGCTACTTTTAGGCCAGGCAGGGTGGCTCACGCCTGTAATCCCAGCACTTTGGGAAGTCGAGGTGGGTGGATCACCTGAAGTCAGGAGTTCAAGACCTGCCTGGCCAGCATGGCAAAACCCCATCTCTACTAAAAATACAAAAATTAGCCAGGCGTGGTGGCACATGCCTATGATCCCACCTAGTCAGGAGGCTGAGGCAGGAGAATCGTTCGAACCTGGGAGACAGAGGTTGCAGTGAGCCAAGGTCGTGCCACTGCACTCCAGCCTGGGCAACAGAGTGGGACTCCCTCTCAAAAAAAAAAAAAAAGAAAAAAGAAAAAAAAAAGATAAAGAAGTTTATAACTACTTTTGGTGACAGGCAGTCTAGAGCCCACACTACAAGCAGCTTAGCTCAAGGGGGATGTGGGACACAACGGCTGCCTCATTCCTATGCCTCTCTGGGCCTGACAGTTTAGAGGAGATTCACATTCCCCAGATTAAAAGTTTGTTTTCATTCTCAGGAGGGTTGGCAGCTTCTCACTCCTCCCGGTTGGAAGCCAGCCTCCATGTTGTGAGGAAGCCCAGGCAGCCACATGTGGAAGGGCCAAGCCCCTCAGCCAACAATCCCAGCCAACCTTCCAGCCATCAGCCAGCACCAAATGTGAGGTAGCCATTGTGGAGCCCACACCATGTGGAGCAGAGACAAATTGTCCCCACTGAACCCAATTGTAAAATTGTGAGCAAATCAATAATTGGTGGTTGTTTTTTTTTTTTTTTTCTTTTTTTGAGATGGAGCCTTCCTCTGTTGCCCAGGCTGGAGTGCAGTGGCATAATCTTGGCTCCCTGCAACCTTTGCCTCCTGGGTTCCAGTGATTCTTGTGCCTCAGCCTCCCAAGTAGCTGGGACTACAGGGGTGTGCCACCATGCCTGGCTAATTTTTGTATCTTTAGTAGAGATGGGGTTTCACCATGTTGGTCAGGCTAGTCTAGAACTCTTGACCTCAGGTGATCTTCCCGCTGCCTCGGCCTCCCAAAGTGCTGGGATTACAAGCGTGAGCCACTGCACCTGGCCAATAATTACTGTTTTAAGGCACTAATTTTTGTAGTTGTGTGTGTGTGTGTGTTTGCAGCAACAGGTAACTGAAACACTTGGTAAGCTCTGCAAGTAGCCCCATATGAGAAATAAAATTCCAAGCACCCCCAACTGAATGAACCATCTCTTGGCCAAGGGAACCCCAGAGAAACTTTGGAATCTGAGTTGCCTGCTCTGGCAGGATGGGAGGTTGAACACGCCTTGTTATATCCGCTTCCCCACTAACTGCCTAATGGTTTTCTTCCCTAAGGGCTAAACTGAAGCCAGCCCTTTCAAAAGATTCCATCAATTTTTTTCTGGTTTTTCTAGAGGAAAGAAAAAAAAAGGCTCCTCTACTGATATTAACCAACCGCCTGACACTGCCCCTCCTTTTCTGTTTAATAAGGGACCCCCAACCTTGCCAGTCTACAGAGGACACGCACAGAGGGTTTTTGTGTCCTCTGCTTCACATTTTGATATCAGAGGACCGTAAACTCCACCCTCAGGTCATGCTAAGGCTGACATTTTTTGTACAAGGGACACATGAAGGGGCATGAAGCTCAATTGAACATGCATACACTTCTCCTTTCATAAATATTCATGACTCCTCCTATAGCTTATTGAATATGTAGATTTGGCCACCTTGGTCAGCATAAATCCCTGTCTTATTCTTCCCACCCTCAAAGTGTCTGTTTCCAGCTTCTGGTTGGAGGCTACACTTCCCGGCCTGTCAACATGGCCACTCTGCAGGCTGCAACACTTTATGAGAAATGAAATTCTCCTTTCCAAATGTATGAATCTCCATTTTTCAGTTGACACTTGGAAGCCTTTCCCACTAGGTTTTAGGCACAGTAGATAGCACCTCCCTTCCGTCCCACTAGCGGGAACGGGGGATTCAGCATGGCCACAGATCTCTCCAAGGAAATCTCTCTGCAAGGCATTCTCCCTCTCCACAGTCTACTGCCTTTTTATATCCCCGATATGCCTGCAAAGTACAAAAGATGTGGAACTGGTTCTTTAAATTTTCTTTTTAAAATTTAAGGTGTATTGGCTGGGCATGGTGGCTCACGCCTGTAATCCCAGCACTTTGGGAGGTCAAGGCAGGAGGATCACTTGAGCCCGGGAGTTTTAGACCAGACTGGGCAAATAGCAAGACCTTATCTCAGTTATTAAAAAAAAAAATGTAGGAGGTATGGGAACTCTGTTTCATGATCACTTAGATGTCAAATATCTTTCACATTAGTCCTCAGTTAAATCTGAAGTCCCAAGAACCTCACATTCAGATCGCATGACACTGAGTCCAGGATTGGCTAGACTTCAGGCATATTGCACAGAGCAATAATTTTTCAAAATTTTTTTCAATACTGAAAAATCCTGGCAGAATTTTATTTGAAGGTTTAAACTAGCTAGAGGCTATGCCCCAGTTGAAGAGACCTGGGGACTGTTTCCTGCCTCCCATAGTGACCCCTAAAATGACATAAATGCCCTGGGTTCTGCAGAACACGATTTGAACACCACCAGTGCAAGGCAAAGAACCTGGCTTTGGAGCAGGTGAGCCACTCTGAACCTCAGTGTCTTCATCTGTAAAATGTGGAGGACGATAATAAATAATTATACCTACTTCACAGATTGTTAGGAGAGTTCAATGAAATGAAGAGCGTGAGTGAATCTGTGCTGAGCTGGTATTCCACAAATGTTTGCTCTCACTCTCCTTTCATTTTGACTCATGTTTCAAGTCAACAGCAACACTGACTTTCCTGCTTGGGCTTGGTGGACAGCCTGCACTGTATCCCTAGGCCTCTGTAGAATGTCATTAGGTCAGACAACTTGAAGCTTCTCTTCTGGAGAGGCCTCAGACCATCCCACCTACCAAAGGAATCTGAAACCAGATTCCCAGTAAGAAAAGGGTTGCCAAACCCTCACACCTCCTTGCCCACAGGCTGAAAGGCTAAGGTGGATCAAGATCACAAAAATGCTGGGATGAACCCAGGCCCTTTTGGCAGCCCCACACTACAACCCAGGGAATTCCTCCTGAGAAAGTTATAATACAGGGTGGTCGCAGGAGAGGAGAAAATTCCAGGCAGCAATTTCACATGACTAACCAAAAGGAAACTGTTGAAATAGCTGCAGAAACTAGGGACTGATAAAACACTGAAAACCAGCATGTGGACCAAGCTGGCTAAGACTGACTGGACCCAACATGGCGCTGGATTTGACCTAGATTTCTCCTAGAACCTCATTATCTGCTCATTAACACACAAATCAGACACCCACCAGTGCCATGACAGTTCCCAGAACACCCATATTTAGTATAAAAATGGGTAGCACCACAGTTTCAAAAAATCTCCACCTTTTTCCAGGAATTTTCATGAATATTCCACCGCTTGGTTAAAGAAACCCATAAAGGTAGAAATCCCAAACCTCCTAGTGTGACCCTTTTGAGTCTGCCCACAATCCCCTTTCTTGAGTGTGTACCTTCACTTTGCAATATATCTCTGTATTTTCACTATTTTCTGACTCATCCTTGAATTTCTTCTCGTGATGGTATCAACAGCCCAGACACTAGCTGGGGACGAGATCCCACCAGTATTTGGGAGACTCCCCCAGCCCACTGGTTATTGCTCCCTTGCAATCACTGTGGAATAATGCTAAATGCCGTACATTCACTATTTTATTTAACCCCAAAACAACTCCCGGGGGGTTGTTACTGTCGCAGATCAGTGACTATCTGGGCTGGCGGTGCGGGCAGTAAGAAGAATTTAACAAGTCAGTTGTAGGTAAAGAAAGGCAGATTTATTAGAGAAAGTATGAAAATACGCTGCAAGAAAGCAATGGGCAAGTTAGCAAGAGAGGAACTGACTGCAAGGAGATAAAGGCTTGCTGCAGACTTTATAGGATGGTGCTTGTGCTGTGTGCTGAAGAGGGCTTGTGCAGTGCTGATAACACCAACGTTGCAGTGAGCTAACTTGCAGGTGTCTGGTGATAGTTGGGTGCAGCAAGATTGTGAGTTATCTGCACAGGAGGGCTGTGTGTCCTGGTCCATGAAGAAAGGCAGACTCATAGCTTATCTGCTTTTTCTTTTTGCTTTCCCCTGATCCCGCCAGCCTCATTCCTTTTCCCTAATTAGTGCTTTACAGATACCCCTTTTTACGTTACCCCTTTTTACAAGTTAGAAAACGGAGATTCAGAGAGGATAACTCAGCAATTTCCAAGGTTGGCGGATCAGAATAACTGGGGAGCTCTTAAAATGCACATTCCCAGGCCCCGCCTGCAGAACAACAGAACCAGACCTTAGTTCTGTGGGGTCCAAGGTCACACACCTCTCCAGTAGGAAGACAGGGCTGGGACTGGGATGAGACAGGTGAGGCCCTCGCTGTCGGGTGCCCATCTGTCTGTGTGACCCAGAGAGCATGGGCCTCCTTCCAGTCTGCACCCTTGGTCTCACCCAAGACCCGCCCAAAGCAAAGCCAGCATTGGGATTACAGATCTGTCTGCGGAAAGTCCACACCCTTAGCCACAAAACTATTATTGTTAATACTACAGCCCCAGGATGCCTTAGGGCAGAGATTCTCAAACTGGAGCCTGCATCCAAATCACCCAGAGTGCTTGTTAAAACGCAGAGCGCTGGGCCCCACCCCATTTCTGAGTCAGCAGGTCTGGTTGGGGCTGAGCATTTACCTTTCTAACAAGATCCCAGGTGGAGCAGATTCTGCTGGCCCAGTACCACACTTGGAGTACCACACTTGGAGATTCACCGCCTGAAGGTAGAAGGAGCTGGCACCTCAAGCAACAGCTCTCTTCTCTAGATTTCTTCTCTCAGAGTCTATGATGAAATGCTCTGGGCAGCTGGATTGCCTGACCCTGCAACCCCGAGGCACTCCACTTCCAAGTTGTAGTAAATTCCCTCATTGCTCACCTGTATCCAAGCATCTTGATGCAGGTATTCTACGCTGCTCCCCGTTCCAATCAGGAAAGAGTATCCTAAGAAAGGGTCTAAGATTTTCCAGGAGTGAGGGGTCAGGCCTTAGCAAGGTCAGCACTGATAGCATATTGCTCTGTTGGCCCCATCATCTGCATGGGGGCTTCTGGGATGGCGTTGTTGAGTTCATGTTCGTCTTTGGGCTTTTTGTAGCCCCACATTTATGCAGCTGTCTGGGAAAAGGAGAACTTGGTCTGAAAGTTACTAGGTGTGCTCCCTCCGTGAGTGATCACCCTGAGAGCAGTTGCAGACATTTGTGTTAATTAGTTAATTTAATTTTATGTGCACCTAGTTAGTGCTCTAAAAGAGAATCTACAAATTAATGGCAGCTCACGTGCAAATGACTGAAATTCATAGCCCGGGCTTTATGGTTTTGGTTTTCGTTTTTAAACAGCCCTACAGCCTGTGGGCCAGCACTGGGTATTTCCTTCTAATCCTCAAAAAAGTATTTCTGATTCATTGAAAACCTAATTGCACAGCTCATAAGGGAAGTTCCTTCTAAAATGAAAACCCAGCATCCCGGGGGCATCGGCCCTTACTCATTTCCACCCGTTACCAATTGCAGACTCACTCAGCTGCCAGCACCACTCTCCTCAACACCCTGATTTTACCCACCTGTCTGACCCCTGACCTCTAACCCCTGACCCATACCTCTTCCTCCCAATGTCCCTATTTGAATCTGGGCCCACTATGGTTGGGGAAAGTGCTTAAAGTTGGTGTCAGGACATGTGGTTTCACCTGCTAACCAGCTGCGTGCATTTGGCAAAGTTACCTTTCCTCTCTCAGGCTTCAGTTTTCTCATCTAAATACCTATGAGGGTAACAGCAGGGTGGTTTCTCCTCAGGGAAATGGGAGGCCCTGCTGGGAAGAGGAATCAGGACAGGAAATGAGACGGCCCTTGGGACAGGAGAGGAAGGACCCGCTCTGGGGCTTTGGGAATTGGACTTGGAGGTGCTGGAAGGACAGGAACCAGCTCTGGCCTGGGGTGAGCTGGTCCTGTTTAGTTAGAAGGGAGACTTGTGGCATCACTGAGTGGCCATTTTGGTTTTTGCTGGCAACTGCAGTGAGGGACAGCCTCTCACTTCAAGGTGATGCCAAGAGTTCTTGGAGCTCCTTCTCCTGAATCATGGGGAGAACTGGCTCAAGCTGGTTGGGGCCTGGCTTGTGACCCATTGTGTGTGCATGAGTTCAAAGAGCTCAGTCTCCAAAACTCTGTGGCCATGGAGCCCAGGCTAGGTCTAGGCTAACTACAACCGTGCAGAGGAGTCCTTGTCCCCATTTTGAGCCCCGAGAAACCACTGTGGCATGAGAGGCAGGTCTCAGTAGCCTGGAAGCTTCCTGCGGAGACAAGGTCCCCGCCCTCAAGACAGTTCCCAAGTGGACATGGTGCACTATTGGCCAACTGCTTGTTGGCCGCAGCCACGACAAAGAGTGGCCTTTTAGGCCTCTTTGTTTCTTCTCAGGGAGGTGAAGTAACCATGACTAGGAAGCACCCAGGGTTCCCTAGATTGACTATGGGAGGAGTTCCAGTGAGGACTTTTTTTTTTTTTTTTTAACAGAGACCACTCCTTGTAAAAAGGACATTTTAAATAATTAGTGTGTTGGGAACATGGAGTCACTTCTTTAGACCTTAAAAAATAATTTGTTGTTTTCATTCAAGTGGGTAAAGCAAGCTATTTGGTTATTTAAGAGAACTAGCCTATGATCTTATGGGACCACCAGCAATAACATTCCATGATTCTGTGAGATGTCCCAGATCCCTTACTCCATTGAACAATAGCCAACGTTATTTACCTAGCACATACCTACCAGGCACACTTGACATGCATTTATTGTCATTATTGTATCTAATATAACATTTCTTTTTTCTTTTTTTTTTTTTTTTTGAGGTAGGGTCTTGCTCTGTCACCCAGGCTAGAGTGCAGTGACGCAATTTTGGCACACTGCAACCTCCACCTCCCGGATTCAAGTGATTCTCCTGCCTCAGCCTCCAGAGTAGCTGGGACTACAGGCATGCGCCACCACGCCCAGCTAATTTTTTGTATTTTTAGTAGAGATGGGGTTTCACTGTGTTGGCCAGGCTGGTCTCGAACTCCTGACCTCAAGTTATCCGCCTGGCTCAGCCTCCCGAAGTGCTGGGATTACAAGTATAAGCCACCACACCTGGCCAATTGTATCTAATATAATAGTTCTGCAAAGCAGGTGCTATCCACACTTTGCCCTGAAGAATCTGAGGCTCAGTAAAGGTAAGTAACTGACAAGTCATGGAACTTGTAAGAGGTGGAGCCAGGAGTCCAACCAGGCCTGAATGTGACTTCAGAATCCCCTGATTTGCAGCCTAGAGCCTCAGTCTTGGCTACTGTTCTAGGACCAGCCCCACCTGGAGGTCCCTAACTCTGGTGCCAGTCAGGAGCTCACCTTTGTGCATGGAGCAGAGGGACCCTCCCTTCAGTGTGAGGACAGGGCACTGGGAGGCAGTCAACTCATGCCTGGGACACTGCTGGGGGAGGGCTAGGGGGAAACACTGGTCCATCCAGGCAGAACCAAAACATGGTAGGATGTTTTAAAAGTCCTTTTCAATTGCTGGGCACGGTGGCCCACATCTGTTATCCCAGAGCTTTGGGAGGCCGGGGGAAGAGGACTGCTTGAATTCGAGACCAGCCTGGGCAATACAGTGAAACCCCATCTCTACAAAAAATGAACAAAACTAGCCAGGTGTGGTGGCACGTGCCTGTAGTCCCAGCTACTCAGGAAGCTGAGGCGGAAGGATGGCTTGAGCCCAGGAGGTGGAGGCTGCAGTGAGCTATGATCCTGCCACCACACCCTAGCCTCGGTGATAGAGCGAGATGCTGTCTCAGACAAAGAAAAAAAAAGGCCTTTTCATATTCCAATTCCATTGAAATACAATACCCACAACATGGTGAAACAATTTGAATGTATGTTCAAATGGTTTGAAAAAGATGCTGCCCAGCAAGAGTGGAAAATGGACAAGCAAAGCACCAGTGTTTGTACAGACAGGAACGCTAAAAAAAAGGAAAGGGGAAGAGTTTAAAAAATAAAACCTTCTTTTTTTTTTCTAAAGTGGAGCAGAAAAATCTCAAAATGTGATGGGGAGATTGAAGAAAAGAAAGAGGCACGTCCTTCCTCCCAGGCTGGAAGATTGAAGGGTGCCTGGATAGATGGTGAATCTGAGATTCTCTCCAGAACCAGGAATGCCCACCTATGCCCCCTAGAAGGGTATATTCGAATCTCCTGGGGACCATTCACTGCCCACCAACATCCCACTCTCTAAATTTCTTGCCTCAAATTCTGATACGCTTTCCCAGTTGAAGGTCTTCCTATAGCTTTGATTACTGCTAGGAGTGTGCTAGTGCAGAGGGCAGAGGCAGCAAAGAATGGGCAGAAAATCAGGGAGAATTGCCCAAGTGTGGGTGACTTAGAAAAAGAGATTTTCCCCTGAGGAATTATATTGATGAAATCTAGGCTTGAAAGGTCCAAGTTCAAAGGTCTGCTTACTTTATTATCGTTTTACCCAGAGGAATGTGCCTGTTAGGTTAATATTTATTTTATTGAATAATCTAGTTTTAGTTACTGTCAATAAAAGTCAGCGCTACTTTTTATAGGAAAAAAAGGCAGTTTTGTGGCTAATTTCAGATCTCAGAGAGGTTGTTCCTGGGCCCATTGGCTCTACCGCCACCTGGTGGTAGATTCCTGTAGAACAGGGCTGGCCATTTGGGTTTCGGACCAGAACCCAAGTCTGAGAGGTTGGAATCCTGATCTGCTCACCCAGTAGCAGGGTGACCAGTTGGACAGACTTCCTCTCTCCCTGAATTTCAATTCCCATATCTTAAAATAGAGACCATAATATCTACTTTTGGAGTTTGTCGTAACAATCAAATGAGTTAACATATATGTAGTGCCTAGTGCATAGTAAATGTTTAATAAACTATTAACTATTAGCCTCATTGAAAAAGAACTTGATATCCCCATGGGCTTGTTTCCAGTGGTTTGCCATGGAGTTCTGTTCTCACTATTTCCATAACTGACTGGAGCAAAGCTACAGAAGACACGGCCCCTGCATCATGGCCGACACTCTGCTGGTCAGAGGCTGGGAGAGACTTACGGTTTGGAGGGACGGGCCCAATCTAACGGATTAAATTGTAAGAGGAGTAATGCAAGTTCCAAATGACACATAAAGTCTGCCAAGTGCACACATATTGGGTGAGGGACAAAAAAAAAAAAAAAGACCAAGTCAAAAACACTGAGGGATTTTGGGAACAGATAGCTCAACAGGAGCCAATTGGGTGACACAGGCACCAAAAATTCTAATTTCATCAACAGCCATGAAGGAACAACATATATGAAAAGTCTTTAAAATGTTCATACAGCCTAACCTTGTAATTCCACTACAAGAAATCTACCCAGAGGAGGAAATCATCAGAAACAATTGCATACAAAGATGCTCACTTCAGTGTGGTTTATAAAAATGAAAAATTAGAAACAATGTCCAATAATAGACAAAAAGTTAAATTGTGGTTTATCCATGCAGCCCTTTAAATTTTTCAAAGGGAAATGCACATGAAATAAGTTGAGGGGGGTGGTGAGAATCGGGCTCTCATTACAAATAGAGGACACATTGATAAAAGGCAGAATTAGATAAGATATAACAAAAGCCTATATGCAGCTGATAAGATAGCTTCAAAATTTATAATGCAAAAACTGACAACCCTGCAAGGAGAAATGGACAAGTTCAACTTTAGGAGACTTTAATACACCTCTCCCAGTAATTTATAGATCAAGTCAACAGTAACAACAACAACAAAAAGTCAGGAGACTGATTTGAGTAATAACTCCGTTTACTGCAATACCTCAGTCTCAGTGAATTGATTTTGTCTGTGCACTTATCAGGCAATTACAATAATTTGTTAGAATGACTCACAAACCCAGGGAATGCTTACTTATTATTCCTGATTTATTACAAAGGAAAATTTAAAGGATGCCAATAAACAGCCAGATGGAAGAGACGTGAGAAATAAAAATAAAATCCTGAGTACCTCCAACAACAACAACAACGACAAAAAATCAGTAAGAAAAAAAGAGGGCGGGCGTGATGGCTCATGCCTATAATCCCAGCACTTTGGGAGGCTGAGACGGGTGGATCACCTGAGGTCAGGTGTTCAAGACCAGCCTGGCCAACATGGAGAAACCCCATCTCTACTAAAAATATGAAAAGTAGCCGGTCGTGGTGGCAGGCACCTATAATCCCAGCTACTCAGGAGGCTGAGGCAAGAGAATCGCTTAAACTCTGGAGGCGGAGGTTGCAGTGAGCTGAGATTGTGCTACTGTACTCCAGCCTGGGTGACAGAGTGAGACTCAGTCTCAAAAAATAAAAAAAATTTAAAGAAGAAAAGATTTGAACAATAGAATTTAGAAGCTTAATATGAGGGCCCTGCATAGTACACTGCACCCTACAGCTGGAGAATACATGTTCTTTTCAAACACATCTGGGATGTCTGGGCACAGTGGCTCAAACCTGTAATCCCAGCATTTTGTGAGGCTGAGGCGGGCAGATTGTTTGAGCCCAGGAGTTCCATACTAGCCTGAGCAACATAGGGAGACCTCCAACTCTACAAAAAATTAGAAAATGAACCAGGTATGGTGGTGTGAGCCTGTAGCCCTAGCTACAGAAGCTGAGGTGGGAAGATCACTTGAGCCTGGGAGGTCGAGGCTGCAGAGAGCCGAGATCACACCACTGCACTCCAGACTGGGCGACTGAGCAAGACCCTGTCTCTAAAACAACAACAAAGACAGATAGAAGATTTATAAAACTTAACTACACACACACACACACACACACACACACACACACACATAAACGCAAATCAACTATTTCAGTATGTGGGGCTAAATTCTAAGGGGAAGTACAGGGAGTTTTGGGAGTCAGAGGCTCAGGGACGATCTCCCAGAGAAGGTTATGACTGGGCTGAGTTTGTGAAGATAAGTTATCCAGCTAAAGGAGGTGGGGCTGGAGGCTGAGCTATCTCAGGCAGGGCATACAGCAGGTCTGAGGGCCCCTAGGCAAACAGAAGTGAGTTTAGGGAACTGCAAATCCCTTCCCAGAATTCACCTCTTGCTTCCAGGCAGGGGCCCTGACATGCATCTGCAGGGGCCCCACTAAAAGCTATCGGTCAGTTTCCATCTCTAACAGGAGATGGGGGTCTTCAGTTACCATCCAGCCAGGGCATGTCCCCCAGAAAGGAACATGAGCTGGGCCCGAAAAGGAGCTGCCCAGAGCTCCAATGTCAGGCAGGATTGGGGAGCTCCCTGCAGGTGGGCAGGATGCAGGACCCCTGAGGCCCCACCACCTCCTAAGGAAGCCCCCTCCCCATCCTCTACTACTCCTAAAAAGCCTGGAGGGCCTCCCTGCAGGCTGGCTCAAGCAACATGGACTCCCAGCCCTTGCCCCGCCCAGGCTCACACATAGTTTCTCTGGGGCTCAGGCAATGTTAACACAGCTATCACTGGCTTCCTGCTCACCATGCCAAGCTGTCACACACGTGAGCTCAGGTCTAGGAAAGAACTCTAGAGGGGTTTGGAACACTACCTGTCCAAAGTCTCTGAGTAAGTGAAATGCAGTGTTTAGCCCAAACCTTCATTTTAGCTAAGTGCCTTCCTGTGTCCTCCCCAAGAACCACTCTCAGGGTACCCTCTCACCTGGTGTGGGGCCTCACTTTACCCTCCTTTCAGTCTCTCCTTCCTGACTACTGAGCAGGCAGGGAGATGTGAGAGCCAGAGAGATTTGGGCAAGCCACACAGGCCCATTAGCTCAGCAGCTATGGAGAGAGAAGCCATAAAGAAGGAGTCTTGTCTGGAAAGCAGAAACCTGGACGGACTGGCTGTGTGGCCAAGAGCAAGTCACTTCCCCTCTCTGGTCCTCAGTTTCTTCCTTTTTAAAATAACAGGAAATCATCTCTAAGCTTATTTCTAGCTGAAGATTCTGGGATCTTATTTAAAGAATTGGGTCTATTTCAAAAGTCGACTTAGTTTTTTTGAGGTGGGGGACAGGGTCTCCCTATGTTGCCCTGGTTGGTCTCAAACTCCTGGACTCAAGGGGTCCTCTGCCTCAGCCAGCTTCAGGAAGTTCGTAATTGGAGGATATTGTCCCTTTTGTTGCTTTTCTGGGGCTGTTGCAAGGTGGAAAGAAACAGAGGTGGGCATCCTTGAGCCACTGCTGAGCCATGACTAGGAATTAGACTTCGCAAGGGAGCTGCGTGCAGTGGCTCACACCTGTAGTCCCAGCACTTTGGGAGGCTGAGGCAGGAGGATAGCTTGAGCCCAGGAATTCAAGACCAGCCTGGGTAATGTGGCAAGACCCTGTATCTACTAAAAATAAAAAAATTATCTGGGTTTGGTGGTGCGTGCCTGTAGTCCCAGCTCCTAGGGAGGCTGAGGTGGGAGGATCGTTTGAGGCCAGGAGGCAGAGGCTGCAGTGAGCCAAAATTGCACCACTGCACTCCAGCCTGGTGACAGAGGGAGACCCTGTCTCAAAAAACAACCAACCAACCAACCAACCCAAAACACCCAAATGATGATGCAGTGAGTATCTCAGTGCTCGAATGAGAGCATATCTGTAGGTTAAATTTCATGGGAATGCTTTAAAATAAAGTTTTATGTCTTATTTTAGGGTAAGTAATCTCCCAAATAGCTGAGACTACAGGAGCATACCACCCAGCCTGGCTAATTTTTAAATTTTTTTTATAGAGATGGTGTCCTACTATGTTGCCCAGACTGGTCACAAACTCCTGGGCTCGAGCAATCCTCCTACCTTAGCCTCCCAAAGTGCTGGGATTATAGGCATGAGCCACCATACCTGGCCATCATCTGTGATAGCCCCAAACTGGAAATCACTGTCATTTCCATTACTACAAGGCAAATGAAATGAATTATGGTCTGCCAAAAAGAGACTGGGGTATCTGTACTGACCTGGGCCGATCTTCCAGATATGTGAAGTGTGTACTGTATTCCCCCATTTGTGTGTGCTGTTGGGGAAGGTGTACGTGTCGGTATATGATAGGTAATTTCTGGAAGGATGCATAGGAAACTGGTAACAGTGGTTTCCTCTGGGGTGAAAACAGGGGGACTGAGGGGCAGGGAATGAGCAGAAGGACACAACTTTTCACTTGTAGGCCTTTAGCACCATTTGAATTTTTGTTTTTCCATCTCCATATATTAACTTCAAAATTTTTCTTCTGGTAATATAGTAACAATTGACTTTAAATGCAAAAACAACCTTGCATTCTGAGATACTCTATTGGGTCATAATGCATATTGCTGGATTCAATTAGCTAATAGTTCAGTGATTTTGCATCTATGTTCATGATGTATTTAGGCAGTCACTTTCTTTTCTTGAAATGTCTTTGGCCAGTTTTGGTATTGTGGTGATACTGTCATCATAAAAAGAGGTGGGAGGGAAGTGTTCCCTTTTTCTTTTATTTTCTGAAAGTTTGCATATAATTGGAGCTTTTTCTTTCTTAAATGTTTGATAGAACTCACGAATAAAGCAATCTGGACCTAGTTTTCTTTGGAGTTTTTTTTTTTTTTTTTTTTGAGATGGGGTCTCACCTTGTTGCCCAGGCTGAACGCAAATTCCTGGGCTCAAGTATCCTCCTGTCTTAGCCTCTCAAGTAGCTGGGCCTGTAGAAAGATTTTTTTTAATAACACATTTCTTTGATATAGGGCTACTCAGGTTTTCTATTTCATCTTGTGTACATTTTAGTAAGTTCTATTTCTCAAGGAATGTGTTGATTTCATCTATTGGTTTAAAGTTGTTCATAGTATTTCCTTATTATCCTTTTTTGTTTTGTTTCGTGTTTTTGTTTTTTTGAGACGGAGTTTTGCTCTTGTTGCCCAGGCTGGAGTGCAATGGCACGATCTCAGCTCACCACAACCTCCGCCTCCCGGGTTCAAGTGATTCTCCTGTCTCAGCCACCTGAGTAGCTAGGATTACAGGCATGCGCCACCACACTGGGCTAATTTTTGTATTTTCAGTAGAGACAGGGTTTCTCCATGTTCGTCATGCTGGTCTTGAACTCCCGACCTCAGGTGATCCGCCCACCTCAGCCTCCCAAAGTGCTGGGATTACAGGTGTGAACCACAGGCCCTGGCCCTTATTATCCTTTTAATGTCTGTAAGACCTATAATAATATCTCCTAGTTTGTTACTGATAGGAATAATTTATTTATTTTTTCTTACAGTTTTGCTAGGGGTTTATTAATCTCCTCAAAGAATCAACTGTGGCTTTGTTAAATGTATTGTTCATCTGTTTTCAATGTCGTTAATTTTGCTTCTATCTTTAGTATTTCTTTTCTTCTTAGTTTGTCCTGTAGCTACTTTTTTTCAAATATATAGATATTTAAAGCTATTAATATATCATTTAGGAAGCAAGTACAACCTACTAATTTAGCCTTGTATTATTTTATTTCTCTGGGTTACTCAATCTTGAAATACATTTCCAATTCTTTTTTTAGAGAAAACTTTACTTTTTATTTTTTTAAAGGCTACATTGGCAAGAATTTAGAGAAAACTTTCTAGGAGAATCAGGAAATACTACCCATGGTGGGTGGAAGGGAGTATATGTAAAAATCTAGAGAATGATTGTAAGGATAGAAAAAAACTAATATTCCTGTTCTTTTTCATTCCATTCCAAGCTGTGTTTATTCTAAAGATACTTGAATTTTAGGAACCCTCAGTTCCTTTTTGAATGCTATGTTGTAATTACCAGTGACTCATTCATCTGTACTCAAGTTTTTGGATATAAATGAAGGTTAAATATGACTCCGGTTAATTTAATGCTTTAACTATACCATACCAACCACATCACTAATACACTGTCAAGATGCAATCTTCCTTTCTTACTAATTACATTAACTTGATGAGTCACTTTTCTTTAGTTATTGCTTATATTGCCTTTTAATATTTATCTTTGCTGAACTAATTCTCCCATCTTTTTAATAATTCATTTTAATTCCTGATTTTTAAATACTTAAAAGGGTTATAACAAAGGTTATTTTCTTTATACTTAGTCTGGATAGTACAAAAAAATTTCCATCATAAAATTCTTTTTTTTTTTAAAGGAATGATTGTGCTAGAAAATGAAACAATTTTTTTTTTTTTTTTTTTTTTTTTTTTTTTTTTGAGACAGAGTCTCACTCTGTTGCCCAGGCTGGAATGTAGTGGTGCAATCTCGGCTCACTGCAACCTCTGCCTCCCAGGTTCAAGCGATTCCCCTGCCTCAGCCTCCCGAGTAACTGGGATTACAGGTGCCCACCACCACGCCTGGCTAATTTTTGTATTTTTAGGAGAGTATTTGTATTTGTAATTCATGTATTTTCACCATGTTAGCCAGGCTGCTCTTGAATTTCTGACCTCAGGTGATCCACCCGCCTTGGCCTCCCAAAATGCTGGGATAACAGGTGTGAGCCACCACACCCAGCAATACAATTTTCAAAAGGAACCCCGTCAAGATATTCCTAGTTAAATATACACATAACCAAATGTACATTTGTATATTTTAGAGAAAATAACATAATTTTTGTTATTTTAATTGTAGCAACAGAGTCTAGCTATGTTGCCCAGGCTATTCTTCAACTCCTTAAGATGGCCTTAAGTTGCCTCAGCCTTCCAAAGTGCTGGGGTTACAGGCATGTAACTGCACCCAGTCTAGAGTTTTCTTAAATCTTTTTATTTATTTATTTTTGAGACAGGATCTCACTATGTCGCCTGGGCTGGTTTGAGACAGGATCTCACTATGTTGCCTGGGCTGGAGTGCAGTGGTGTGATTATGACTCACTGTACCCTCAAGCTCCCAGGTTCAAGTGATGCTCCTACCTAAGCCTTCTGAGTAGCTGGGTAGGGATTACATAGGTGTGCACCACCACACTCGACTAATTTTTGTATTTTTTGTAGAGATGGGTTTTCGCCATGTTGCCCAGGCTGGTCTTGAACTGGGCTCAAGCAGTCGAACCACCTCAGCCTTTCAAAGTGCTGGGATTACAGGCATGAGCCATGGAACTTAAATCATTTTTGAAACATAGTTAATAATGGCCTTCTCAAATTAAGTCAGCTAGTAGAAAAAAGTCTAACATTTTACATCGAGTCCAAAGCTAGTTTGGGGGAAAAGGCTTTTGATCTTTAAATGCCAAGGGGAAAGGTATTTTATCTGTCAAGAGATGATACAATTCAGTGGAATAAAATGTGTATCCACACAGATGACTTTTGCTTCTACCAATTTTATCTTTTATAAAACCCTGACATGGCCGGGTACAGGGGCTCCTGCCTATATCTCAGCACTTTGGGAGCCAACGGGGTAGGATCGCTTGAGCCCAGGAGTTTGAGACCAGCCTGGGCAACACAGTGAGACTTCATCTTTACAAGAATAAAATAAAAAAATTAGCCAGGCATGGTGGTGTACCTATGTAGTCCCAACTACTTGGGAGGCTAAGGTGGGAGGATCACTTGAGCCCCCAGAGGTTGAGGCTGCAGTGAGCCATAATTGTGCCACCATACTCCAGCCTGGGCGACAGAGACCCTGTCTCAAAACAAAACAGGCCGGGTCAGGGTGGCTCACGCCTGTAATCCCAGCACTTTGAGAGGCTGAAGCGGGAGGATTCCTTGAGCTCAGAAGTTCAGACCAGCCTGGGCAACATCAGACCCTGTCTCTTTTTTTTTTTTTAAAGTAAAACAAACAAAAACAAAAAAAAAACTCATGATCCTTTTGTGGTTCATAAGCATGATGATTGGGTATTCACACCCACGTGTGAGATGTGCCTCCCTCAAACCTTGTTACAACTTCAACCATTACCCATCTGACAGTAAAAAAAAAAAAAAAAAAAAGTAAAATTTTAAAAATCATGTCTTATTTCAGCATCTTATATTTTTAAAAACCAATATTTTGGTAGATGACAAATTTATACCATTAATAACTTTATTTTTTTTTCTTTCCTCAACTTTTGTTTTAGGTTCAGGGGATACCTGTGTAGGTTTGCTACATGGGTAAATTGTGTGTTGCTGGGGATTCGTGTACAAATGATTTTATCACCCAGGGAGTGAGCATAGTAACCAATAGCTAGTTTTTCGACCCTCGCCTTCCTCCGAATCTGCCCCTTCAAGGAGGCCCTGGTGTCTATTGTTCCCATCTTTGCGTTCATGTGTACTCAATGTTTAGCTCTCACTGATAAGTGAGAACATGTGGCATTAATCACTTTAAAACATAGTATGACAGATATCATTTTCTTACAGAGCATCAGATATTAATATGTATGGATCACTTTGTTAAATTAACAAAAATCATCTGAAAATCAGCACAATATTTCATTTATTTATTGTATAAGTTTGGCAAACAGCACAAAAATCCAGCAACATTTAAAACATATAAAAAAGTCAAATGCTAAACAGGACTAGGGATTTTTTTTTACATCATTAGAAATAACGAGTACACATTTTAAGATTCTGCAAAGCTAGCAAAATGAAGATGCTTGCCTTCTGAACATATACTACAAACACACATACAAAAAAACAATATAATTTATCTTTACAAAAATTACAGCCAAGCAATAGAAAAGAAGGATGTTAATGATGAAGATAGCAACACATATGTTTAGTACATATATCTTACACATTGAAATGCTACATCTTATACCCTGAAATGCCATGTGTAGAGAGCCAAGCAGAGTAAATTTAGGCTCATTACTGAGGTTAAGAATTATTTGAGAAGAATTTAATTCTTATATGTAACATATTCAGTTAAAACTTTCTATATAGGAGTTGCTAGAGGATGACAATGTATCCCATTATAGATCTGAGAAGTTGAGTCTTCTTTGTTGGCAGTATAAAATTTCTGACCAGTATCAAAATTCTGGTAAAACACAAATTGAAGGCATTTTCTAGTGTATGCAAACATTACAAGGGGCATCAATGAATGTAGAAGAAAATCGTAGATTTTTCACATCAAGTTTCTGCTGAGCTTTGTCAAACCAAATAGCTCAACTATAAGGCAAGAGAAAACAACTCCCTATAACAGATTAGTGGATCTTACCAAGTAAATATAGGAATTCAATCTTAGGGAAAAATTCCCTACATTAATAGATCTGAAACAGCTGGTCTTGAAACAAACATCTAGAAATTAACGAACATCTTGACATTCAGTCATTGGTTCAGAAGCGTGACAAACAATCTGTTGGTATATATTATTAAATTAACTTTTTGGAATCAGCACCAGTCCCCAAAACCTCAAATTATAATATTTAATCTTCATTAAAATATATTTTTTGTGCTACATTAACACGACCACAATTAAGTTAAAGAAAGCTGAATTTATTTAACTTATTGTATATGTTTATGTATACTAGGTAGTGACTTAAATTTCTTTTATTTACTTGTGCTTCTGTTTTGGGGCACTTTGATTGAAGAGAAATTCAATTCACAGGATTACATCTTGCTAAAGCATTCCTTAGCATTGGTCCAAACTTGAATTCCCTAAAAATAAAAATAAAAACTTTAAAATGTGAGTTTGGAAGGAATCTGAAAACCCAAGTACTTGGCTTAGTGGTACACTAAGTTTTGCTTTTTGGAATAATTAAGAAGTCGAGAAAATATGACACTATTTTGGGAAGTGGCTAATATAAGCAAATGTCTAATGCTTCTGAAAAGAGAAACAGAATCTCTAATACGAACTTATCTTCAAAATGGAAAAAGAACTCCTACAACTTGTTGGAAAACTGAGTTAATTCATTTCATATCACATACTCGAGTAATTTCTATTTGTAAATCAAACAAGTTTTCAGTCTTTTTTTTTTTTTGGAGATAGGGTCTCACTCTGTTACCCAGGCTGGAGTATAATCATGGCTCATTGCAGCCTTGACCTCCAGGGCTCAAGGGATCCTCCCACCTCAGCCTGCCAAGTAGCTGGGATCACAAGTGCACGCCACCACACCTGGCTTATTTTTTGTATTTTTTTTTTTTTTTGTAGAAATGGAATCTCACTATGTTACCCAGGCTGGTCTGGAATTCCTGGGCTCAAGCGACCTGCTTGCCTCTGCCTCCCAAAGTGCTGGCATCACAGGTGTGAGCCACAGTGCCCGGCTCGGTTTTTTCAATGTAATATTTGAAACAAAAAACTTCATTAGTCTAACAAATATAAATTGAGTTATTAAATTATCACTCTAATAACTAAAGTTTTGATAAAAACTAATTATGTACTAAATTACTGAATCCCTCTTAGTACCTGAAGTTACTTAGCACAGTTATAGATGGCCTAATATGCATAAGCAAAAATACATGTTTATAGAGATGTAACAGTAAAACTTAAGGGTTTTTTCCTTTTTTTTTTTTTTTTTTTTTTTTGAGACAGAGTCTTGCTCTGTCGCCCAGGCTGGAGTGCAGTGGCGCGATCTCGGCTCACTGCAAGCTCCACCTCCCGGGTTCACACCATTCTACCACCTCAGCCTCCCAAGTAGCTGGGACTACAGGCGCCTGCCACCATGCCCAGCTAATTTTTTGTATTTTTAGTAGAGATGAGATTTCACCGTGTGTTAGGCAGGATGGTGTCGATCTCCTGACCTCGTGATCCACCTGCCTTGGCCTCCCAAAATGCTGGGATTACAGGAGTGAGCCACTGTACCCGGCAAGGGTTTTTTTCAGTAAGGTATTTTTTCAATAAGATACATATTCTCCAATAATTACTCATTTATGAGAAAGGAACTTTTTAATACTTAATCATTAAAGTGTGTCATTTATTAAGGTTTTGAACAATTTTCTTTTTCTTCTCTTTTCTTTTTGAAAGAAGGTCTCGGGCCAGGTGCGGTGGCTCACACCCGTAATCCCAGCACTTTGGGAGGTGGAGGCAGGCGGATCATGAGATCAGGAGTTTGAGACCAGCCTGGCCAACATGGTGAAACCGTCTCTCCTAAAGATACAAAAAAATTAGTCAGGCATGGTGACACACACCTGTAATCCCATCTACTCGGCTGGATGAGGTAGAATTGCTTGAACACGGGAGGCGGAGGTTGTAGTGAGCTGAGATCATGCCATTGCACTCCAGCCTGGGTGACAGGGTGAGACTCTGTCTCAAAAAAAAAAAAAAGAAAGAAAGAAAGAAAGAAGGTCTCACTATGTTGCCCAGCCTAGTCTTGAACTCCTGGGATCAAGTGATCCTCCTGCCTCAACCTCCCAAATAGCTAGGATCACATATAAAAATCTATATCACTTAGGCAAGAAAACAAAACGACAAAATTGCATAGTACCATTCTTGGGAAACAAGGTGAACATAAACTCTTATTAAACTTTTTGTTTTACTAGTTATCTAAGGATTTGTGAATAAACCTACAAAATATCCAACAGTATGTCCAAATACAGCTATAGTAGTATCTTTTATATTCACAGATTAAATTTCTAGCACCCTCAACCACTGCAGCCTAAACAAAACGGAGGGGGAAAGTCCTTTGAGACATTATATAAAGGTCTTGCACTTTACTTTGGAAAGAAGTGAATGAGAGATCACAAGGAGCTTATTAATGAGTCTTTTACAGGAAAAACAAAAAAACTAAAAACCTTTGTTATCTGGTCTTTCAGATTTCTTGAGGTTAAAAAGTTAGATTGGAAAAAGGACTGTACTACTGGGTGTGGTGGCTCATGCCTATAATCCCAGCAATTTGGGAGGCCAGGGCGGGAGGACTGCTTGAGCCCAGGAGTTTAAGATCAGCCTGGGTGACACAGTAAGACCCCATTTCAACAAAAAAAGAAGAAAAAAGAAAAAGACAATGGATTGTAAATATCTAGCACCTAGCTGCAGGCAAGAAGAGGTGACAGAATGAAGGCAAAAAAAAGATAGAGATGCTACCAAACTACAACATACTCAACCTTTAGCACCTGCAGACTCAACAGTCACGATCTAAACTTGTTTTAAGTGACTCCAAAGATCCACGGTATACAGTAACTTATAATTCACTGAGCATAAATATGAATTTGTCCAAACCAAATGGAGCCCACTTAACCAGTGAGTGCGTATGGTGTTTATGCCTCAAAATATCTTTGTTCTCTCAGTGATGGCCCACAGCCAAAAAATAAAATTTTGGGACAAACTAAAGCATAAGAATTGTATATATATTTATATGAGTGTGATTTTGCCCTATAAATGTGAGAATTCATCTTACCATGTAATTTACTGAGATAATGCATGTAAAAGTGCTTGATAAATTATGACAGGTGATACAAATCAAAGCACTGGTACTGGTAGTCACACTGGCAGATCTTAGGTTATAAAAAAGAGGTTAAGGAATGTTTCCTATTTTGTTCTTAAACCAACGTTTTAGAAAGTCTTCCATCATTGTCAAACATTTATTTTAACTAGAATAAGCTTCAATGTTTGTATCTTTCACTATGGATATCAGCAACACAAATGATTTACTTTATGAGGAAGCATATCATAACCAGGTCTTCACGAAATAATGTTCAAGCTATTTTCCAATCAAAGCATATACCTGGAATGGTATTTTACTGTCTGGTCCAAGAGTACCATATGATCTAAATAATCTTGGTATATATTCTCAAATACAAGTTATAAATGGAGATACAAATTTGGACTTTAGATGAGTGGAGACTCAGTAATGGGCATACTGGTTGTAACACCAGTAGAGGCTGGACATGGTGGCTCGCACCTGTAATTGCAGCACTTTGGGAGGCCGAGGCAGGAGGACTATATGAGGCCAGGAGTTCGAGACCAGCCTGGGCAACATAGCGAGACCCCCCCATATCTATTTTTTAAATATTTAAAATTTTAAAATAAAAAAACCAAAACAAAATAAAACAGAAATCCTACAAAATTAAAATAGAGAAATTGGTAAACATTCTACAAGAGAAGAATAAAAATGAAAAATTTTTTGGTCAGGTAATTTAAATACATGTATAAGCACTTCTGAATATACATATATCTTCACTGAAACAGGAAAAACCCTACCTTTTTGCACATACTGATCTGCATGACTGCATAGCTTATGAGGGCCTCCTTTAAGTCTCGGTTCTTTTGTTCTTTGAAGCGTTCAATATCAGCCCATGCGTTTTTCACAAATTCTCTGAAATAAAAGGTATAGCCATTATTATTATTTAAGTTAAATAAACTGTGTACTAAAAAGTTAACCAGTTCTCATTGGCGTTGGTTTTTAATTGCCTATGTAGAAGGAAGAGTTATTGCTTGTATAAGACAGTTTTTTTATTTTCCTAAAAATTATAGTTAGGGAAAAAGCAAACAGACAGTCATATATTCTTGTACCTTTTAATCTACTTTTTCTTTTTTTTTTGAGACAGAGTCTCACTCTGTTGCCCAGGCTGGAGTGTAGTGGCGTGATCTTGGCTCACTGCAGCCTCTGCATTCCGGGTTTGAGCAATTCTCCTGCCTTAGCCTCCTGAGTAGCTGGGATTACAGGCACACGCCACTACGCCCAACTAATTTTTGTATTTTTAGTAGAGACAGGGTTTCACCATGTTGGCCAGGCTGGGCTTGAACACCTGAGCTCAGGTGATCTGCCCACCTCAGCCTCCCAAACTGCTGGGATTACAGCGTGAGCCGCTGCACCTGGCCTAATAATCTAAGTTTTTGCCACAAGGATTCTACCTTTAAATTATTCCTATAAAATACACATAGATGACTCCTTAAGCCAGCTCACAAACCTAACAGGTGTCAGTCACAATGAAGTAAGTGCCTTCCAGGGGTCACTGGAAAATATACACTCTTTTGACAAGATGGATTATGAATCACGTTTAGCATTTTTTTTTTTTTGAGACCAAGTCTCGCTCTGTAGCCCAGGCTGGAGTGCAGAGGCGTGATCTTGGCTCACCACAACCTCCACATCCAGGGTTCTTGCCTCAGTCTCCAGAGTAGCTGGGATTACAGGCACACGCCACTGCACTCGGCTAATTTTTTGTATTTTTAGTAGAGACAAGGTTTCACCATGTTGGCCAGGCTGGTCTTGAACTTCCGACCTCAGGCAATCCACTCTCCTAGGCCTCCCAAAGTGCTAGGATTACAGGTGTGAGCCACCACGGCCAGCTGCATGTACTTGTTTTAAATCACAACCAAAGTTTAAAAACTTTTTTAGCCAGGCTTGGTAGCCGGTAGTCCCAGTGATTCGGGAGGCTGAGATGGGAGGATCACTTGAGCCCTGGACTTTGAGGTGGCAGCGAGCAACAATGGCACCACTGCACTCCGGCCTGGGCAGCAGGGTGAGACTCCGTCTCAAAAAAATGAAAAATAATAATAAAAATTAAAATCCCGAGAGGTATTTGTTTTTGGAGACAGAGTTTCACTCTGTCGCCCAGGCTAGAGTGCAGTGGCGTGATCTCCGCTCACTGCAAGCTCCACCTCCCAGGTTCACACCATTCTCCTGCCTCAGCCTCCCGAGTAGCTGGGACTGTAGGCGCCTGCCACCGCGCTCGGCTAATTTTTTTGGTTTTTAGTAGAGACAGGGTTTCAGCATGTTAGCCAGGATGGTCTCAAACTCCTGACCTCATGATCCACCCACCTCAGCCTCCCAAAGTGCTGGGATTACAGGCATGAGCTACCGCGCCCGGCCTGTCTTTTTTAATTCTATCTATTACTTTGCCATATTTGGTGCTAGTAGTTCTAAAAATGAACAAAACCACCTCAAAACCCAAAATACACTCTTGGTCTGCCTTGGTCTATTCACTGACTGTCAGATGAAAACAAAAATAAGAAAAATGAGTCAAACAGTGATAGTGGGTCTCTGAGAACTGAATTTCTAGAAATACTTATGTAACAATTACATGCTAAGCCCTATGTAAGGCACTGGGATGTGAATGTGGAAAAGATACAATCACTGACTTTGAAGGGCTTAAATTTAGCCAGGGATAGTCACACAGAACAATCAATCATCTAATACAAAACTGCCATACCATACTGGCATGAATTAAATGCCGTGATAGCCTGAGAAGGCTTCACAATGAAGTAACACTTCAGCTGGGTACTGAAGGAGGGGAGGGGAGAAGAAATGGTGGAGGGAAAGTACAAAGGGTAGAAATCAGGAATAGTGCAGGAAAATAATATTATGAAGTTGAAACTTTTATTTCTCTTTCCCCCACATTGAAACAACTGTTTCTATAACATTATTTTTGATAATTCAACTTTCTTTTATTTTTATTTATTTATTTATTTATTTATTTATTTCTGTAGAGACAGGGTCTTCCTACGTTGCCCAGGCTGGTCTCAAACTCCCAGGCTCAAGCAATCCTCCCACCTCAGCCTCCTAAAGTGTCAGGATTACAGGCGTGAGCCACCACACCCAGCGTGATAACTCAAATTTCTTAGGAATGCATTTTAAAGGAATAGGCTGTATTCAGGGATGCCAATGAAGCTGGGAATTGTTACCAAAATAAATAAATAAATAAATAAAATAATCTACCATATAGTCTACAAGCCTAGCTTACTTAAACATCGCAGCATCTTTACCTGCCTTCCAGATTTTTAGACTTTAGCTGTTGTTCTCCTTCATTTATTTGTTCTTCTAGCACCTTTATTCTGGCTTCTCTCTGCTCTGGAGTTTCTTGACCAAAGAGCTTGGTAGTCATTCCCTTCAAAGAGAATGTTCTCACAGTCTAAAAGGAAACAGAAACAGATGAATGGATAAACAAAATGCGGCATACACATACACATACAATGGAACATTATTCAGCCTTTAAAAGGAATCAAATCTGATATATGCTACAACATGGATAAACCTGCAGGACATTATGCTAAGTGAAATAAGACAGATACAAAAAGACAAATACTGTATGATTCCACTTATATGAGACACCAGTGTTTACACTGTATTAGGTATTAATAATCTAGAGATAATTTAAAGCAGGGGGTCCCCAACCCCAGAGCCACGGAGTGATACCAGTCCATGGCCTGTTTGGAACCAGGCTGCATAGCAGGAGGCAAGCGACCACCTGAGCTCTGCCTCCTGTCAGATCAGCAGCAGAGGCATTAGATTCTCTTAGGAGCACGAACCCTATTGTGAACTGCGCATGTGAGGGATCCAGGTTGTGTGTTCCTTGTGAAAATCTAATGCCTGAGATGATCTGAAATGAAACAGTTTCATCCCGAAATCATCCTCAGCACCCCCTGCCCTGGTCCATGGAAAAACTGTCTTCCACAAAACAGGTCCCTAGTGCCAAAAAGGTTGGCGACTGCTGATTTAAAGTATACAAAAGGATATGCACAGGTTACATGCAAATACTACACCATTTTATAGAAGGGACTTAAGCATCTGAGGATTTTGGTATCCCAGGGATCCTTAAACCAATCTCACTGAAGATACTGAGGGATGACTGCACTACTGAACTATATACTTAAAAATGGACAAGATGGTACATTTTATGTTATATATATTTCACTACACACACAAAGGAAATAGAAAACATTTGCCATATTTCCCCTAAGTCAGACAAAACCACCATAAGCTTCACAACCAGGGATCTCTTATATGAGTTTTTATTTATTTTTACAGAGTCATAGCCAAGAATCCTAATAGAATTTCTAACACTGAAATAATATGGAGTAGTCAAAAAGAAGACACTTCTAACTGAATTTCTTTTTTTTTTTGAAATGGGGTCTTGCTCTGTTGCCCAGGCTAGAATGTAATGGCACAATCATGGCTCACTGCAGCCTCAACCTCCTGGGCTCAAGTGATCCTCCCACCTCTGCCTCCCAAGTGGCTGGGACCACAGGTGCATGCCACCACACCCAGCTAATTTTTAAATTTTTGGTAAAGACAGGGTCTAGCTATATTAATCCACACTGGTCTCAAATTCCTGGGCTCAAGCAATTCTGGGTTTACGCCTCTGCTGCTAAAGGTGTCGGGATTGCCATTGTAAGCTACCATACCCGGCTTGAATTTCATAATCAAATGGAAAACTTCCACGTGAAATATTAGACGTTATTTCTTACTCTGTATGAATGATATTTTAAAAATTACTTTATGTTATAAAAAAAGTCGATAAATTCACTAGGCAACTATGGAAATAAACCAAACTAAAGAAGCATATTTAAAATCTGCATAACTCAACGCTCAAACTTGGGCATCTATTAATAAAACAGGATACCTAAATCCAAGCATGGGAAGGCAACCCCAAGCTTCACTGCTTTAACATTTCCTCACTCTCTGGAGTTTACTGAAGAAAACACTTTTCCCTTGACATGTAGGATAGAGAACCAAGCTCCCTGAAAATGGCCTGGGAACTTCTCCCACTGAGTTTTAAAAATAAACCAAGGGCCTAGTTTATACATGTGTCCTGGTCACAAGTCTTTCCCCACATATATCTGTGACTTTTCACAGATGTAGCCAGTGGGTAATCTCTGTGAAAAGCACTTTTAAAACTATAGTGCTTGGCCAGGCGCGCTGGCTCATGCCTATAATCCCAGCACTTTGGGTGGCCGAGGCGGGCGGATCACGAGGTCAGGAGATTCAGACCATCTTGGCTAACATGGTGAAACCCCGTCTGTACTAAAAGTGCAAAAAAAAAATTGGTCGGGCGTGGTGGCAGGCGCCTGTAGTCCCAGCTATTCAGGAGGCTGAGGCAGGAGAATGGTGTGAACCCAGGAGGTGGAGCTTGCAGTGAGCCACACTCTAACCTGGGCAACAGAGCGAAACTCGGTCTAAAAACAAACAAACAAACAAACAAAAACTACAGTGCTTATTAACTAAGTAGAGACATTGCTGCTGGTTTACTACTTTCAGAATGTGTGTTGCTCACCATGATGGCTGATTTATTGCAATGAAATAACTGGAGTAGAAAGCTGATTATAAAAATGATCCAAGACTAATGCAATCAGGTACAGAATTTTCCTCACAAGTACTCACTGTAAGCATTAAAGAATAAAGTACATCAAAAGCTCCCTGTTAGGCGAGATGCACTGGTTCTAAGTGGGTAAGGCTTTTCAAAGTCAACTAAAATTTCTGCAAAGTACCTTGCAAAGTTAAACCTGATAAAGGTCACTGCATGTTTTTTCACTTGGACTTAGAAACCAGATGATAGACTAGGCATGGTGGCTTACCCCTGTAATCCTAGCACTTTGGGAGGCGGAGGTGGGAGGATCACTTGAGTCCAGGAGTTTGAGACCACCCTGGTCAACATGATGAGACTATAAACAAAATTAGCCAGGCATGGGGGCACATGCCTGTGGTCCCAACTACTCAAGAGGCTGAGGCAGGAAGACCACTTGATCCCAGGAGTTTGAGGCTTCCATGAGCCCTGATCATACCACTGCACTCCAGCCTGGGAAACAGAACCAGACCTTGTCTCAAAAAATAAAAATTAATAAAAACAATTTTTTTGAGATGGAGTCTTGCTCTGTCACCCAGGCTGGAGTGCAGTGGCGTGACCTCGGGTCACTGCAACCTCCGATTCCCTGGTTCAAGCAATTCTTCTGCCTCACCTTCCCGAGTAGCTGGGACTACAGGCGTGAGGCACCACACCTGGCTAATTTTTGTATTTCTAGTAGAGATCGGGTTTCACCATGTTGGCCAGGCTAATCTCGAACTCCTGACCTCAGGTGATCCACTGGCCTTGGCCTCCCAAAGTGCTGGGATTACAGGTGTGAGCCACCGTGCCCAGCCCAATAATTTTTTTTTTTTTTAAAACGAAACCGGATGATACTGATTACACCAGAGAAATGTTGGCAAAATTTCTTATAATTCTATACAGTACATGGTTTTAATGGCTTACATCATTTTGTATCAAGATAATAATAAAAGAATTATAAAGTTACTCACAAATTATTCCCCTGTAAAAGGTTCAGCCGTCCTGAGTATTGTAACTGGAACTGATTCTACAGGAGTGAGTTACTCACTCAGAGTGAGTGCTTGTGAGGAACATTCCGTGTTGCTACAGTATCATCAGAGGCCAAAAGGAAAATACTCACCCCAGTTACCAGTTCCTCACACTGCTGCTTCTTGGATGCTAAGTCCTGAGCAGCCATCTCCAAGTCATACTGCATAAGTTCATGTTTCCTGCACACAGCCCTACAGATGAAAAAATGTGCTGCCATTTAACTTTTCCTTTAACATGTCAAACATTTTTTTCAAGGGTAGAGGAGAACCATTCACAATGTCTCGCTAGGGCAGAATGTGTGTGCCCAGAATTTTCAAGTTTAAAATGTAGTAGCCCAACATTAAAAATGGAATCTAATGGAATCTAGCAGAACCTAACCATAAAAACTTCATATATTCTTTTTTTTTTTTTTTTTTTTTTGAGACAGAGTTTTGCTCTTGTTGCCCAGGCTGGAGTGCAATGGCGCGATCTCGGCTCACTGCAACCTCCGCCTCCCGGGTTCAAATGATTCTCCTGCCTCAGCTTCCCTAGTAGATGGGATTACAGGCATGCGCCACCACACCCAGCTAATTTTGTATTTTTAGTAGAGATGGGAATTCTCCATATTGGCCAGGCTGGTCTCAAACTGCTGACCTGAGGTGACCCACCCACTTCGGCCTCCCAAAGTACTGGGATTACAGGCATGAGCCACCTGTACCCGGCCAAAAACGTCATATATTCTTAACACAAAAAAAGTTGTTTTCCATATACTTGGAACATTTCTTTCAATAAACATGCCATTATCACATACATAAAACATTTTTTAATGTATGTGAGAACTACATACATAATGTATACATATGTATACATAATTACATACATAATGAACTACATACATAATTAGTTCTTACATAATGTAAGAACTAATGCTGTAATCTCACATAGCAACTGAGTATTCTTAGAAAAGATAATACCTCAAAGTTTTCTTCTTTGTGATTTAGAAATGTCTATTAGGTATTTTTTTTTTTTTTTTTTTGGAGACAAGGTCTCACTCTGTCACCCAGGCTGGAGGGCAATGGTGCAATCTCGGCTAAATGCAACCTCTGCCTCCTGGGCTCAGGCAATCCTCCCACCTCAGCCTCCTAAGTAGCTGGGACTAAGGCATGTGCCACCATATCCAACTAATTTGTGCTTTGTAGAGATGGGGTCTCGCCCATGTTGCCCAGGCTGGTCTCAAACTCATGGGCTCAAGCAATCCATCCACCTCAGTTTCCCAAAGTGCTAGGATTATATGCATGAGCCATGTCGCCTGGCCTAGAAATGTTTATTAGTTTTTATGATCATAAAAGTAATCCATGTTCACTGTAAAAAGAAAAGATTCGGATGGGCGCGGTGGCTCATGCCTGTAATCCCAGCACTTTGGGAGGCCGAGGCGGGTGGATCACGAGGTCAGGAGATTGAGACCATCCTGGCTAACACGGTGAAACCCCGTCTCTACTAAAAATACAAAAAAAGCCGGGAGAGGTGGCAGGCGCCTGTACTCCCAGCTACGCGGGAGGCTGAAGCAGGAGAATGGCGTGAATCCCGGGGGGCGGAGCCTGCAGTGAGCCGAGATCACGCCACTGCACTCCAGCCTGGGTGAAAGAGCGAGACTCCGTCTCAAAAAAAAAAAAAAAAAAAAAAAAAAAAAAAGAAAAGAAAAGATTCTAATACAGCAATGCACAAAGTAAAAAAAAGAGGCTGGGCATGGTGGCTCATGCCAGTAATCCCAGCACTTTGGGAGGTCGAGGTGGGCAGATCACCTGAGGTCAGGAGTTCAAGACCAGCCTGACCAACATGGTAAAACCCCATCTCTACTAAAAATACAAAAATTAGCCGGGCATGGTGGTGCATGCCTGTAATCCCAGCTGCTTGGGAGGCTGAGGCAGGAGAATCACTTGTACCCAGGAGGCAGAGGTGGCAGTGAGCAGAGATTGTGCCACTGTACTCCAGTCTGGGCAACAGAGTGAAACTCCAACTCAAAAAAATAAAAAAAACAAAATACAACAAGAAAGTTCAAGAACACTCTCTTTCCTCCAATCCCACTATCCAGATATAATCGGTGTTACCAGATAGTATATAATCTTTCAGAATTTAGCTAGGCATTGACAAATACCATATCCATGCACCCCAAATGGTTCCTACATCTTTTCTCAAATGGCTATACACCCTGGCCATCTTTCCATGTCAACATACATTAATCCCTTTTATAATTTTTAAGAGCTGCAGAGAATTCCACTGTACTCAGCAACTTTCTTTTTTGAGACAGAATCTCACTCTGTCACCCAGGCTGGAGTGTAATGGTGCGATCTCGGCTCACTGCAACCTCCACCTCCCCTGTTCAAGCAGTTATTCTGCCTCAGCCTCTCCAGCAGCTGGGATTACAGGCACCCACCACTATGCCTGGCTAACTTTTTTGTAATTTTAGTAGAGACGGGGTTTCACCATGTTGGCTAGGCTGGTCTCGAACTCCTGGCCTCAGGTGATCCATCCGCCTTGGGCTCCCAAAGTGCTGGGATTCAGGCAGGAGCCACCTCACCTAGCCAACTTTCTTTTGCTTGGTGACTTGAAAATACATTGGTGAGACTTCCTACTACTCAAAGCCCTAGAAGGAAAACGAGCTAACAATGTGCAGATGATTTCACACCAATCACCACAGAGGTAAGGGAATAGTGCTCTTGTTTTCCTAACAGAATTCTTATACTGCTTTTAAAAGCGACAGGACAGTGTTGGCTCATGCCTGTAATCCCAGCACTTTGAGAGGCCGAGGCGGGTGGATTACCCGAGGTCAGGAGTTTGAGACCAGCCTGGCCAACAACGGTGAAACCCTGTCTCTACTAAAAATACAAAAATTAGCTGGGTGTGTTGGCGGGCGCCTGTAATCCCAGCTACTCAGGAGGCTGAGGCAGGAGAATAGTTTGAACCCGGGACGTGGAGGTTGCAGTGAGCCGAGATCACGCCACTGCACTCCAGCCTGGGTGACACAGCCAAACTCTAGTCTGTCTCAAAAAAAAAAAAAAAAAAAAGTGACAGGACAACTGACCAAAAGCCACCTATTCTGGGAAAATAATTCCTTTTTCTAAACTGATCAGAAAAAAATATATTAACTTTTTCCTAGTCACGTAGGACTATCTAAAAGAGAATTCCCT
This sequence comes from Homo sapiens, assembly GCF_000001405.40. Lineage (NCBI taxonomy): Eukaryota > Metazoa > Chordata > Mammalia > Primates > Hominidae > Homo > Homo sapiens. The sequence continues at coordinate 125,460,342 of NC_000003.12, forward strand.
TTGGCTCTGTAAAAGATAACATAAGAACAGATAAGAAAGTCCTTGTTACATAAGGACGTTGTACAAGCTACTGATAAGACACACAGAATAAAAATAGCAATATACAACATAGTAACAGATACTGTTACACACACTGAATCTGTATTTTGCTTCCAATCTTCAAACTGGAAAAAGTGGAAACAACAACATACAGGCACACTTGATGCCTGAGGCTGGCAGGTTTTATCAAAATGATGCTTCGAGGGCAGGCCTCATCTTACATGTTTATGCCTAGCACTCTGCAACACAGAGAAATACAATGAGACCTCATTCATTATCTGAGGGAATGCATTCATTTAAAAAACACTCTACTATCTGTACTTTACAGTGGCATATGAGGAGAGTGGTGAACAACCCTGTGGCTGCACCTGGAACTTTTATTAAACTTACCGCAATGCTTCTGCATAAAAAAGATACTCTTTTAACTGATCTGCATAATGTTCTTCATCTTCCAAAATATCATCAATAGAAGATGCATACCTGTTTTAAAAAAAAAAACACACATTGCATAGAGTTACTTTCATTGGAATACAAAGTATTAGGGTTCTAGAGAAGTGCAATTAGGCTGGGCGCAGTGGCTCACACCTGTAATCCCAGCACTTTGGGAGGCCAAGAAGGGCAGATCACTTGAGGTCAGGAGTTCGAGACCAGCCTGGCCAACGTGGTGAAACCCTGTCTCTACTAAAAATACAAAAATTAGCCGGAAGTGGGGGCGGGTGCCTGTAATCCCAGCTACTTGGGAGGCTGAGGCAGGAGAATCTCTTGAACCCGGGAGGAGGAGGTTGCAGTGAGCCAAGATCATACCAGTGCACTCCAGCCTGGGTGACACAGCAAGACTCTGTCTCAAAAACAAACAGACAAACAAACAAACAAAAAACAGCAATTCTAAGTGTGGCCCACAGATAATTTGCTACCCATCAGTGATGTTGTAAGTACAGACAGTGAGAATTAGCGTTTAGAATCACTGACAGCAATGTGTAATTACCATGATGATTTTATTGAATTTTACCAAAATGTTTTGGTCAGCAATGACTTAGAAATAAACAAACAAAAAAATGGTCTTTTTCATAGGCAGTTTAAGAAGCTTGTAAGACTGTAATATCTTTTGTTCAAAGACATACATAAAAGGGCTACAAAATCTGTAGAAAGAATAAGAGTTTGGTATAATTGGTATACATATGTTCTTGGTTGCAATTATTTATTATAATGATGCCAAATAGCTACAAAAGAAAAAGTAGAGTAAATAAAGGTTGGAGAAAATTTTAGAAGCTTATTTTATACTAATTTTTTTTTTTTTTTGAGACGGAGTCTCACTTTGTCGCCCAGGCTGGAGTGCAGTGGCGCGATCTTGGCTCACTGCAAGCTCTGCCTCCCGGGTTCACGCCATTCTCCTGCCTCAGCCTCCCAAGTAGCTGGGACTACAGGTGCCTGTCACCACGCCCAGTTAATTTTTTGTATTTTTAGTAGAGAAGGGGTTTCACCGTGTTAGCCAGGATGGTCTCGATCTCCTGACCCACTCGCCTCAGCCTCCCAAAGTGCTAGGATTACAGGCGTGAGCCACAGCGCCCGGCCATTTTATACTAATTCTTAATAGCAACCTCTGCTTTGATTGGGAGACTCCCTCAATGTCATCCCAGTTTCATTCCTGCGCATGAGTCTTCATTTGTACAGAATGTGATGGCTCCCACATTGCTTCTCCAAACCATACAAGCACATGTCTCAACACCTCTAGGAAATTTTCCCAGACTGCTTTAGTCTTTAGTCATCATTCTACTTTCGTTCCCTTATCAACAATTTGAACTTAAATTTTATCAAAGTCATATCCCATGTGTTGGTTTTTTTAAAAGTGATTCTTATTTATTTGAATTATCTATTTGTTGAGCATCTACAATGTGCCAATTGATAGGCTGACTGTGACAAATCTAGTGACAAGAGAAAACTCGGTACTAAAGCCAGGGCAGATGGAAAAGCTGTAACTGGAGATTGTACACTAGAACCCAGGAGTTCGAGACCAGCCTGGGCAACATGGCAAGACCCTGTCTCTACAAAAAATACAAAAATTAGCTGGACATGGTAGTGCATGCCTATAGTCCCAGGTGCTCAGGAGGCTAATTTGGGAGGAATGCCTGAGCCCAGGAGGTCCAAGGCTGCAGTGAGCTGTGAATGTGCCATTGTATTCAAGCTGGGGTGACAGAGTTAGACTCTGTCTCACCAAAAAAAAAAAAAAAAAAAAAAAGAGAGAAGAAACCATAGCTGATACAAGGTATTGTAATTTAATATAAAATTGTATGAAATACATGGCAAGTTGCAGTTTATCAGATACATTTAATTACACACACCATTCCACTGTTTAGTTCCTTTTAGATTGACATTAGATAAGGAATTACCAGATCTAGATAATGCAGGACAAGTGAGCCCCAAAATTGGAGGTTAGCCCAGGAGGGTTATCAGCTTCGCCCAGGAAAGAATTCAAGGGTGAGCCGGTGGTGTCAGGTGGAAACCTTTTATTGAAGAGCACTGCTCCTTGAGGAGCAGGACTAACTCATAGGCAGTACACCTAGAGTCGGCCTCGTGTGTTGGTTTTATTTCTCTGATAGCATTGTAAATTCCATAAGGACAGGGGCTATGTGTATGTACTACTTCTGTGTGATACAACAGGTATCCTTCTTTCAAATTAATTCTGGTTCCTTCGCATGGACACACTTTATGTCTCTAGACCTGCCTCATCAAGTTTATTGAAGTTGTAAGACAAAATAAACAAAACTATGCTAAGGGTCATTTGAAAAGCAATGTGCTTACAGGATTTATGTAAGCAGTGAACATATACATTCTGTAAGTACAAACTTACAGCTATGAGAGTGAATAATTTCTTATATGTGACTGGAAAAAAGTCTTGAGAATCACTATTAAGAGTAGGAAAACCTGCCTTTAGTTCCTAAGTCTATGATTCTGGAAGAGTTAATGTGAAGAAAACAAAGAGGACTTGTGGCCTGAAGATAGGAAACACAGTGTAGGGAGAAACTGGAACATCCTAGGGTGGGGAAGTATAAATGATAAAGATTTTTAGATCTCAGTACTCAGAATTTTATTTAACACTTTCATAAATCAACTGAAGGGATAATCCTAAATTCTTGGAAACATTGAAATGCCAAATCAAGAGACCACAGGACAACTTAGGGTTAAACAAAATAGTTGAAAAAAGTAGCTAGTTGGTTTGGAACATGGCCTAAGGAAAAGTAATATTTAGATAAACACATTTTTTCTTTTTTCTCTCCTAGCTTTAAAGTATAATTAAAGAACTGTATGTATTTACAGTGTACAATGTGATGTTTTGATGTATGTATACATCATGAAATGATTAAATGAAGCTAATTAACATATCCATCACCTGACATACTTGGCATTATTTTTGTGGTGAGAATATTTAAGATCTATTTTTTGTCTTTTTGAATCACAGGAGTTCTTTCTATACTATGGTTAGAAATGTTTGCTCCTATACTTGCTTCTTCACTGTCTTAATAGTGTCGCTTTTTAAAAAATAGTAAAGGCCTGGCGGGGTGGCTCATGCTTGTAATCCCAGCACTTTGAGAGGCTATGACGGTGGATTACTTGAGCCCAGGAGTTTGAGACCAGCCTGGGTAACACAGTGAGACCCTGTATCAATTTATATTAAAATTTTAAAAAATAGTAAAACATACATAATATAAAATTTACCTTGTTAATAATTTTTAAGTATACAACTCAGTGGTATTAAGTATATATACACTGTTGCATAATCATTACCACCACCCACCTCCATAATTTTCTCATCGTCTGCAACTGAAACTCTGCACCCCATTTAACTCTCAATTTCTTGCTCCTTCAATGGTATCAAATGGTAAATTGGTCATCAAAATTTAAACAAAAATTTTAAATTTGATGAAGACCAATTTGCCATTTAAAGTAATTTTTTCTTTTCATATCCTTCTTAACAATGTTTTCCACTATAAGCTATACTTTTACCTTTTACAATTATGTGTATGAGCCGAATTGAATTAGTTTTGTGTCAAGTGTAAGATAAGGCTCAAGGTTTTTTTTTTTCCATGTAGATATCCAGTTATTCCAACACCATTTGTTGAAATGAGCTATAGAAGTGTGAGTCTATTTCTGTACAGAATTCTGTTCCATTGATCTATTTATCTTTCTTTTTTTTTTTTTTTTTTTTTTTTTTGAGACACAGTCTCACTCTCACCCAGGTTAAAATGCAGTGACAGGATCATGACTCAACTGCAGCCTTGACTTTCTGGGCTCAAGTGATCATCCCACTTCAGCCTCCCGAGTAGCTGGGAGTACAGGTACATGCCACCACTCCCTGCTAATTTTTGTAGTTTTGGTTTTTTTGAGACAAAGTCTTGCTCTGTCACCCAGGTTGGAGTGCAGTGGTGCAATCTTAGGCTCACTGCAACCACTGCCTCCTTGGGTTCAAGTAATTCTCCTGCCTCAGCTTCCTGAGTAGCTGGGACTACAGGTGCACATCACCACACCTGGCTAATATTTATATTTTTAGTAGAGACAGGGATTCACCATGTTGACCAGGCTGGTCTTAAACTCCTGACCTCACATAATCCACCCACCTTGGCCTCCCAAAGTACTAGGATTACAGGCTTGAGCCACCATGCCGGGCCTAATTTTTGTAGTTTTTTGTAGAGACAGGGTTTTGCCATGTTGCCCAGGCTGATCTCAAACTCCTGGACTCCAGGGATCTACTCACGTTTGCCTGCCAAAGAGCCGGGATCACAGCATGAGCCACTGTACCTGGTCAATCTGTTTAACTTTATGCCAATACCTCACTATCTTCATAACTTAGCTTTATAGTAAATCTTTTTTTTTTTTTTGGGAGGTGGGGACAGAGTTTCACTCTTGTCACCCAGGCTGGAGTGCAATGGTGCAATCTCGATTCACTGTAGCCTCCGCCTCCTGGGTTCAAGTGATTCTCCTGCCTCAGCCTCCTGAGTAGCTGGGATTACAAGCGCCTGCCACCACACCTGGCTAATTTATTTTGTATTTTTAGTAGAGATGGGGTTTCGCCATGTCAGCCAGGCTGGTCTTGAGCTCCTGGTCTCAGGTGATTCACCCGCCTCAGCCTCCCAAAGTGCTGGGATTACAGGTGTGATACACTGTGCCCGGCCTAGTAAATCTTGAAAGTAATATATTCCAGTTTTGTTCTTTGTCAAGATTGTTGTAGCTATTCTAGGTTCTTTAAATGTCCATATAAACTTTTACTTTTTATTTTATTTTTTTGAGACAAAGTCTCACTCTGTCACCTAGGCTGGAGTGCAGTGGTGTGGTCTCGGCTCACTGCAACCTCTGCCTCCCGAGTTCAAGTGATTCTCCTGCCTCAGCCTCCCAAGTGGCTAGGACTATAGGCATGCGCCACCACACCCGGCTAATTTTTGTATTTTTAGTAGAGACAGGGTTTCACCATGTTGGCCAGCCTGGTCTCAAACTCCTGACCTTAAGTGATCCACCTGTCTCGGCATCCCAAACAGCTGAGATTAAAAGTGTGAGCCATTGTGCCCGGCCCATGTAAACTTTAGAATTAGCAATTTGGGGAGAACTGACATCTTAACAATGCCTTCCAATCCATGAACATAGTTTATCTTTCCATTTATTTAGGTTTTAATTTCTCTCAGCAATGTTTTATGTAGTTTTCACTGTAGAGGTCTTTCATATCTTTCATTAAATTAATACCTAAGTTTTATGTTTTGATGTTATCATAAATAGCATTATTTTAAATTTTTTATTTTCAAATTGTTGCTAGTATATAATAGATTTTTAGATATTAAACTTGCATCCTGCATCTTAATTAAATTCAGTTGTTGGTTAGCCATATGCAGATTTAAACTGGACCCCTTCCTGTTATCACATACAAAAATCAACTCAAGATAGACTAAGGACTTAAATGTAAAACCTATAACTATTAACAAAAAAAAAAAAAAGAAAACCTAGTAAATACCATTTGGGACATAGGCTATGGCAAAGATTTCATGATGAAGACTCCAAAAGCAATTGCAACAAAACAAAAAATGACAGTTGGGACCTAATTAAACTAAAGAGCTTCTGCACAGCAAAAGAAACTATAAACAGAGTAAACAGATAACTTACGAAATGGGAGAAGATATTCCCAAACTATGTTATCTGACAAAGGTTTAATATCCAGAATCTATAAGGAACTTAAACAAATTAACAGGCAAAAAACAGCTCAATTTAAAAATGGGCAAAGGAGGCCAGGCGTGGTGGCTCACACCTGTAATCCCACACTTTTGGGAGGTTGAGGCAGGAGAATCGCTTGAACTGGGGAGGAGGAGGCTGCAGTAAGCTGATAGCACCACTGTTCTCCAGCCTGGGAGACAGAGTAAGACTCTGTTTAAAAAAAGAAAAAAAGCCGGACGCAGTGGCTCACGCCTATAATCCCAGCACTTTGGGAGGCTGAGGTGGGCGGATCATGAGGTCAGGAGTTTGAGACCAGCCTGGCCAATATGGCAAATCCCCGTCTCTACTAAAAATACAAAAATTAGCTGGGTGTGGTGGCACATGTCTGTAGTCCCAGCTACTTGGGAAGCTGAGGCAGAAGAATCACTTGACCCCGGGAGGTAGAGGTTGCAGTGAACTGAGATGGTGCCACTGCATTCCAGCCTGGGTGAAAGAGTGAGACTCTGTCTTCCAAAAAAAAAAAAAAAAAAAGGGCCAGGTGCGGTGGCTTACCCCTGTAATCCAAGCACTTCGGGAGGCTGAGTTGGGCAGATCACTCAAGCCCAGGAGTTTGAGACCAGTCTGGCCAAAATGGCAAAACCCTGTCTCTACTAAAAATACCAAAATTAGCCGGGTGTGGTGGTGGGCGCCTGTAATCCCAGCTACTCGGGAGGCTGAGTCAGGAGAATTGCTTGAACCTGGGAGGCAGAGGTTGCAGTGAGCCAAGATTGCGCCACGGCACTCCAGCCTGGGTGACAGAGTGAGACTCCATCTCAGAAAAAATGAAAACAAAAATAAACATAAAAATAAAGGAGTGGGGGGAAGGATATGAACAGATACTTCTCAACAGAAGACATACATGTGGCCAACAAACATGAAAAAATACTCAACATCATTAAATAAATGAAAATCAAAACCACAATGAGATACCATCTCACGCTAGTCAGAATGGTTATTATTATTATTTTTTTTAACTTAAATAACAGAGACTTGTTCTTGCTATGTTTCCCAGGCTGGTCTTGAACTCCTAGGCTCAAGAGATCTGCCCACCTCAGCCTTCTACAGTGCTGGGATTACAGGCGTGAGCCACTGCACCTGGCCAGAATGGTTATTACTAAAAGGTCAAAAAATAACATGCTGGCAAGGTTGCAGAGAAAGAGGAACACACACTGCTGTTGGGAAAGTAAATTAGTTCAGCCACTGTGAAAAGCAGTCTAGAGATTTCTCAAAGAACTTAAAATAGAAGTACCATTCAACCCAGCAGTCTCCCAGTACTGGGTCTATATCCCCCAAAATATAAATTATTCTACCATAAGGATACATGCACGCCTGTGTTCACTGCAGCAGTATTCACAATAGCGAAGACATGGAATCAACCTAAATGCCATGAACGGTGGACTGGATAAAGAAACTGTGGTACATGTATACCATGGAATACTACACAGCCATGTAAGAGAATAGATGCAGCAATAAGGATGCAGCAACATGGATGCAGCTGGAGGCCATTATCCTAAGTGAATTAACACAGGAACAAAAAACCAAGTATCACATATTCTCATTTATAAGTGGGAGTTAAACATTCAGTACACGTGGATTACAAAGAAGAGAACAACAGAAATCAATGCCTACTTAAGGGTGGAGGTTAGGAGGAGGGTGAGAATCGAAAAACCACCTCTCAGGTACTAAGCTTACTGGGTGATGAAATGATCTGTACACCAAATCCCCATGTCAGGCAATTTACAAACCTGCACATGTAACCCCTGAACCTATAATAGAAGTTGGAAAAAATAAAATTAATTCAGTTGTTGGCCAGGTGTGCTGGCTCCCGCCGCTAATCCCAGCACTTTGGGAGGTTGAGATGGGAGAATCCCTTGAGGCCAGAAGTTTGAGACCAGCCTGGGAAACACAGCAAGACCCCATCTCTAAAAAAAGAAAAAAAAAAATTTAATTCAATCTGGGAACAGCGGCTCATGCCTGTAATCCCAGCACTTTGGGAGGCCAAGGCAGGAGGATTGCTTAAGGCCAGGAGTCCAAGATCGACCTGGGCAACATAGCAACACTCTGCCTCTACAAAAAAATAAAAAATAATTAGCCAGGCGTGGTGGCATGCACCTGTAGTCCTAGCTACTTGGGAGGCTGAGGTGGAAGGTGTGCTTGAGCCCAGAAGGTTGAAGCTGCAGTGAGCTGTGATTGTACCAATACCCTCCAGCCTGGGCAACAAAGTAAGACCTAGTCTCTTTAAAAAAAAAAAAAAAAAAAAATCAGTTGTTAGTTCTACAATGTTTTTGGTTGATTGTTTATGGTTTTCTGTGTAAAAGACCTTTCAACTGAAAATATAGTTTTGCTTCTTCCTAATATTTAGGGCTCTTATTTAATTTTCTTGTCTCACCATATTGAGTAGGACCTCCAGTACAATGTTTACTAAAAGCGGCAAGAGCAAACAACCTTGCCTTTTTCTTGACCTTAAGAGAAAGCCTCAATATTTCACTATTAAGTACAATATTGGCTATAAATTTTAGACTGAGAAAATTCCCTTTTATTCCTAGTTGATGAGACTTTTTACTGTAAATGGGTGTTAAAATTCATCAAATGCTTTTTCTACATGTATGGAAATGAACATACCTTCAATGTTTTCATCTTCATTCTGTTAAAATATGAATTAGATGGATTTTCAAATGTTAAACTAACTTTGCATTCCTGAGATAAATTTAAGTCAGATATGTACACATAGAGCGCAATATAAATGCCAGCAAACTTGATAAAAACAGAAGAATAGAAGAGTCACTAATGCTTCACTACAGGACTTCACCTCAGGCTTCACAAAAGTTCTCGAGGTACTTACACATCCATATGATGACCAGCACTCTGCAGTCCATCACCCATTTCTTTTTCTATGGCACTCCATTCACTAGGGAGTAAAAGATAAAACCAAAAGCAACATGCATTAGAGATATGGAATAGTATTAAATGGACTCTTTTCAAGATTCTTGTCTAGCTAGCTTTAAAATAATGTATAGCACCCGTATTTGGGTTTATTTTGTATAACTCAAATATGCTGTTTTCCCCTTAAGTTTAACAACTAAATGTGAAGTGAAGGCTTCAAACGTTGATGCTTGCTGCTAAGCGGAAGGTAAGTATCATACTCAACAGCTTCTGGTTATAGATTACATTCTCAGTTAGGCGGCTGATTTAAATCATTTGTAAAGCTTTTAAAAAATACGGATGCTAGCCCTACTCTTCATCTACTTAATCAGAAGCTGTGGGGATAGAGTGAGACATGTACATTTTTAAATACTCCATGTACGGCTCTGATGAACATACCTGATTACATGCCACTGTTCTAGTAGCTAACAGAAAAAGACAACTGTATAGAAACAGTAGGTGCAGAGTAAAGTTTTAATAATAATAATCATATTACACAAGAAAGCTACTAGAGCCACAGATCATTTTGTTGTCATTTCTGTGAAATGCTTTACATTAAAAATCTTTTTATGGAAGTTATATATGCTTATTATAGTAAACTGGGAAAATAAATCTATAATCCCAAATGCCAAGAGATAACATAATTTGATACACCTCCTTCTAGTCTTATTTGCGTAATTTAAAGTGGCTGAGATCATATGGTATATGTGAGTTTGTGTCATGCTTTTTTTAAATAGTATTTTCCCATACTATTAAAATAATTTGTTCTAAATGTCATTTTAAATGGCAACTCACAATCTTTTTAACCAGTTTCCTGGCTATACAGGTTGTTTCCAATTTTTCTGCTATTTAAAGAATGTATAATAATCATCTTCAATTCCAACATATCATAAAAAATAAAATAGTATTATACTCTTAGTATAGATGAAAACTATGTATCTTTTCCCTAAAAAGTTAAAAAAAAAAAAACAAAAAACACAACATTTTGTGTACAATTTCAGAGACTTCAGACAACCTGAAGTCCACCCTCACCTCTTGGATCTAGAACTCGAACTGAAAAACCACAAGGGTCGCTCTAGTATTTTGTAGCTCCATGAAATTAAAAAAAAGAAAAGACTCCAAGAATGCCTGAAAGTCAAGATTTTGGACAGGAATGAAAAATATTAATTACAACAAAAAGAAAGGTTTAGAGCTAAATTTAGTAACCCAGTCTGGTGTTCATCAAGGATAAAATCTCTAGCCCCAAACAGGTCTGTGCAAATAGGTTCTATTTGTTTATATTTCTGTACGAGACTTTGTTTAAACATAAGAGTTCCAAGCTAAAAAAAGGTTTGAAAATCACTGTCCTCATCTACCCCAACAATTAAGAACAGACACTCAGGCCCAGAAACCTAACATGGTTTACTCAGTCAGGCAGCTGATCAGAGACAGAGCTGAGCCTAGAACCAACCTCCAACAGAGTCCTGTATCTACCAGTCCCAACTTAAGGCACTTAACTTTTTTTGTTGTCTTAGTCAAAAGAGCTTTTTGGCAAGGCATGATGGCTCACGCCTATAATCCCAGCACTCTGGGAAGCCAAGGAGGGCAGATCACCTGAGGTCGGGAGTTCGAGACCAGCCTGACCAACATGGAGAAACCCTGTCTCTACTAAAAATACAAAATTAGCCAGGCATGGTGGCACATGCCTGTAATCCCAGCTACTCGAGAGGCTGAGGTGGGAGAATCGCTTGAACCCGGGAGGCAGAGGTTGCGGTGAGCCGAGGTCGCGCCATTGCACTCCAGTGTGGGCAACAAGAGCAAAGCTCCATCTCAAAAAAAAAAAAAAAAAAAAAAAAAAAGCTTTTCACCACTTACCATACATGTAATTAAAAAATTAAAAATTATAGAATTATTAAACACAAGTACATCTTTGTGTCTTTGAGCTCTGAGGTACATAACAAGTTGGTGTGCCTTTGCACATAGCTTTTTGAAAGAAATGTGTCTATTTTCCTGGAATCTCTTGAAAGGAACTGTAACACTGAATCTGGGAGAGACGGTTACTTTTGGTTGCTTCCATATGGATTCACAACCTATGAATTAAGATGAATATTTTAAAATGTTCAATTAACAGAACACAACATTTTAGGCTATTAGCTCCTCACTGCTTTCATCAGCTTTAAATGCATAGTTACTGGTACTTAAAACTCTTTCCTCCTCTTCTCTAAGTCTTTTGCAGAGTGAACCCCACCTATGTATTTAGTCCATTTCTGCACAGGTGGATCTGAAAGTTCCTGTCTGAGCATGAAACTAGTCCTATAAGCCCCTATGGGGAATAGCCCTTTTTTAGGCTTATCCTAAATTGGGTCAGGTGCTATTAATAAGGGAAGGAGGCTGCAAAAGGCCTAGGGATGTAAGGGCACAAAATAAACTCCTCTACTTAAATGAACAAACAAATAAAACAAACATAACATCAGCAGCACCATGAACATACTACAAAATCTTCCCTGTTTCTTCTCTGTAAGCCTAATTCCTGCTCATTTCTCACCTACATAACATCTGTTGCTTCATGTCAGTCCTTTTCTAGTCACAGCTCAGTCTTTTTTCTTAGTCCATTCTTTCACTCCAACCTCCAATTGCCATAATTTTACAAAAATTACTTAAGGAATATATTGAAAAAATTTCAATTAAGAAAAAAAAGCTGATAAAACCAGCTTTGTATTTCTTCCCCTCTCAAACTGCAAACCAAAGAACAAATTAATTTTTTTTCCGATTATGTGGCCCCCAACTTTTGAATTTTTTCATTACTCTTATAGGTCAGCAGCACCAAAAAGATAAAAACCATCTCCCACAAACTGGCGCTGCTCAGCAATCCTTTCCACATTCCGAAGTGTTGCCTTCATCAGTGCTTCTCAAGCTGGGATGTTTTCATCATGGATATTGGAAGCCATATAATAGACATGGCACACTCTTTCTGAAGAATAAATTTTACTTAAACATTAGTGGGGAAAAATAAACTTTTAAAAATAAATATTAAAGTATCCATACAATGTAGATTTTGCATGAATTGATAAAACTCAAGCCTTCAGAGAGTTCCTGCACTTGGTACAGCTGCTTCTGGCCAATGTCATGTGAATTGGTGAAGGGAGGTAAAGGAGGTTTTGCAGTAGGACAAGTTTAAGTATTATTGGCACCCCTCCCTCCAATCCCCCAAAAGAGAATTCTCTGCACTGTTTGAGACAGACTGCCCAATGTCATTCCCCTCAATCCCCACAACCACACAATTACACAAACTTGTTCTCAAAAAAGATACCTACTTCACGGTGCCTTCTACAACTCACCTCTCCCCTGCCTTAAGACAGCTCTGCACCTTCCCTATCTTCTCCCTTGTCCATGCTCCTATCCCTCCCCTGTCCACCATCCCACCCCAGCCCCAGCCTCTTCTCAAAAAAGTCTTATTACCCTTCAAAAATAACCACAGTTCATCTTTTTCCTCAGGCACTTTTGAAAAAAAAAAATTCAACTTTTATTTTGGACTCAGGAAGTACATGTACATGTGCAGGTTTGTTACATGTGTACACTGGATGGTGTGAAGATTTCAGATACAAATGAGCCCATCACCCACACAGTGAGCACAGCGCCCAATAGTTAGTTTGTCAACCCTTGTCTCCTTCCACCCTCCCTCCCCGCTCTGGCAGTTCCCGGTGTCTACTGTTGCCATCTTCACATCCATGAGTAGGGACTTTCTTAAAAGACTAATCAATAACTTGCTGTCTTTCCTTCCTTAATCCTTTCCTCTTATTCCTAGATCACTAGGACATAACATCATACCACTTAAACTGCTTTCCAAATTAACACCAAAGATGTACTTACCCATTTTCCCCCTTCTCATCTAAACTCAATTCTCTTTTTTGTTTTTTTTTTGAGATGGAGTCTTGCTCTGTCACCCAGGCTGGAGTGCAGCAGCACAATCTCGGCTCACTGCAACCTCCACCTCCTAGTTCAGGCAATTTTCCCACCTCAGCCTCCCAAGTAGCTGGGATTACAGGCACACGCCATCATGCCCGGCTAATTTTTGTATTTTTAGTAGAGATGAGGTTTCACCATATTGGCCAGGCTGGTCTTGAACTCCTGACCTCAAGTGATCTGCCCGCATCGGCCTCTCAAAGTGCTGGGATTACAGGCATGAGCCACTGTGCCTGGCCTAAATTCAATTTCTCTACAGTATAACTCCAAGCATTATTGAAGTGTTCCCTTCACTTGCTTGACTTTGAATACTCCATGTTCCTCATCAATTTCTTGCCTGATCCCTGAACGCAGATATTCCCTTGAGTCTCTTGTAGACTTGCTCTAACCCTCTAATATTATCAACTAACTCTATGTTTTAAAAAATCACTCTATAAGGACACACTTTATATATACAACTCATATTCTCACTAGCTTCTTAAATTCCTGATCCAAATTTCTAACTGCTTAATAAAAATCTTTAGTTAGAATGCAATTTATCCACATGAGAACCCTCAACCTCATCCCTCAAACCCACCATTCCACCTACATTCTCTATCACAAATCCTTAGGCACTCAACTGCCCTAAATTAAATCTTGGTATTCTTGGCACCTACCATGGTAACAGGAGCTCAGTTACCGTATGCTGAATGACTGAAAAAAATCCACTGGTAAGTCTATCATTTAGGTCTCTTTATTCTTCACTGGCAACTGCTGTAGTTCAGGTCTTGATTAAATTACCTCAACCACCTCTGGTCTTTCTGGCTCAGTTGTCGTAAGATGTTTTTATTTATTATCTATTTTTGTTTTTATTTTTTTGAGAGACAGGGTGTTGCTCTGTCACCTGGGCTGGAGTGCAGTGGTGTGATCATAGCTCACTATAACCTTGAACTCCTGGGCTCAAGTGTTCCTCCCATCTTAGCCTCCCAAGCAGCTAGGACTATAGGCATGTGCCACCATGCCTAATTTTTAAACTATTTTTGTAGAGATGGGGTCTTGCTATGTTGCCAAGGCTTGTCTTGAACTCCTGGCCTCAAGTGATCCTCCTTCCTTGGCCTCCCAAAGTGCTAGGATTACAGATGAGAGCCACCACATCCAGCCTCATGAAATTTTTTAAATGTAAAGTGGCTTTCTAATAATTTATTAAGCTGGCAAAAAAAACAAACCTGTACAATATTTATCATGTGGCATTAATGCAAATAATTTTCTTTAAAGTTTGATTCAACCAATTGATCTTTTGTCTACCTGCCTCTCAAATTAATTAAAAAGTTCATTTATTAACTATAATAAATGTGCTACCTTTGAGAATGTTTAGTTTATGTTAATTCCCCCCCACATGTCTCCTATGGGATATAATTTTTGTTTTTAAATAAGCATTGTTCCCAAGCTTAATTGGGTTCCAGTTTGAGTAATACTAAAAATTAGAGATGACTTGTGCATAAAACTAAAAGCAATTAATATTAAGTCAGACAGTATGAGGTAGACTTCAAAACGTATAATACTATTTGTCTTTCTTCCCATTATACTATTCTTTTACAGTTGACCATATATTTTCATAGACCCTGGTCCTAGTTATGAAGAGTTTACATTTTTATAATATCAATAAGCTTCTTTTAATTAAAAAAGTCATATAACCTTGATCTGTCTCAACTGACATTTAATTTTAATGTATTGATCAACCAAAGACATATGGATAACCTACTACTCTAATAAATGAATTAAATAAATTTAAATCTCTATCTCACATCTTACATTCAAATAAATTATAGCTGAATCAAAAATTTATGAAACCACAAAATACAGAAGAAATGAGAATTTTTTTTCCCACCTAGAACCCACCACCTGAGAAAAAATTTTTTTCATTTTTTGAGATGGAGTCTCACTCTGCCGCCCAGGCTGGAGTGCACTGGTGTGATCTCAGCTCACTGCAACCTTCACTTCCTGGGTTCAAGCGATTTTCCTGAGTCAGTCTCCTGAGTAGCTGGGATTATAGGAGCCCACCACCATGCCTGGCTAATTTTTGTATTTTTAGTAGAGATGAGGTTTCACCATGTTGGCCAGGCTGGTCTCAAACTCCTGACTTCAGGTGATCCACCCGCCTTGGCCTCCCAAAGTGCTGGGATTATAGGCATGAGCCACCACGCCTGGCTGAGAAAATTTTTTAATAATCCGAAGTAGGGGACCAGGCATGGTGACTCATGTCTGTAATCCTAGCACTATGGGGGGCCGAAGCCAATGGATCACCTGAGCTCAGGAGGTCAAGATCAGCCTGGGCAACATAGTAAAGTCCCATCTCTGCAAAAAAATACAAAAAGTAGCAGAGCATGGTGATGTGTGTCTGTGGTCTCAGCTACTTGGGAGGCTGAAGCAGGAGGATCACTAGAGCCTGAGAGGCAGAGGTTGCAGTGAGCCAAGACCTACACCACTGCACTCCAGCCTCGGTGACAAAGTGAGACCCTGTATTAAAAAAAAAACCGGGTGCAGTGGCATACACCTGTAATCCAGCATTTTAGGAGGCCGAGGCGGGTGGATCACGAGGTCAGGAGTTCAAGACCAGCCTGGTCAACATGGTGAAATCCCATCTCTACTAAAAATACAAAAAAATAGCCAGGTGTGGTGGCAGGTGTCTGTAATCCCAGCTACTTGGGAGGCTGAGGCAGAGAACTGCTTGAAACCAGGAGGCAGAGGTTGCAGTGAGCTGAGATTGCGCCACTGCATTCCAGCCTGGGCGACAGAGCAAGACTCCATCTCAAAAAAAAAAAAAAAAAAAAAAAGGGCTGGGTGCAGTGGCTTATATCTGTAATCCCAGCACTTTCGGAGGCCTAGGCAGGCAGATCACTTGAGGTCAGGAGTTCGAGACCAGCCTGACCAACACGGTGAAACCCCATCTCTACTAAAAATACAAAATTAGCCCAGTGTGGTGGCGCATGCCTGTAATCCCAGCTACTGGGGAGGCTGAGGCAGGAGAATCACTTGAGCCCAGGAGGCGGGGGTTGCAGTGAGCCGAGATCACATCATTGCATCAGCCTGGGTGACAAGAAAGAAACTCCATCTCAAAAAACAAAAACAAACAAAAAAAGAAATAATCTTCTCTCCACACTCATAAATGTTCAAGAATTATTGTTTTCAGGCAAAAAGGTAATTAAAGCTAATTATTTTTAAAGTTTGTATGATGCTTACCTGAAAACTCGACCATAATTCCCATGTACTTTATATACACCATAGAGTCGATCTGCTACTCTCTGAAATAAATATTTAATAGAAATTGCTTTTAGGTCAAAGTTATATCCTCATCTAAAAAATAGACCCAAAAAACAAAAAACATGCTTACTACAATAAACTTGGAAATAGAAAAAAGAAAAATAGTAATCTCCAAAAATCCCATCCCCCTAAAACTAAAACCAGTGCTCTTACCATATTTATCATATCTTATACTTTTGTACTTCTTTTTCTGCAAAGTTTTTAATTACTGTTTTTAAATTGCCTACAGCAAGAGTGGTAATATGCTTACCCATCAGGTATTTAATAAATACCACTATAAATAGTTGCATAAAATTCCACTAAGTAGTATATAAGACATACAAGCATTCCTTGTTGAATAATCTTGTTGGGATTCAGTTATTCTTAATTTTTCAGTATTATAAAAAGTTATCTCTGAGAATAAGCCTTTTTCCCTCAGATTGTTTCCTTATAATAAAATCCCCAAAGTGGAATTAACCAAGGGAACGGATACATTTTCAATTCTATTGAGATATAGTTTTATATATAAATGCTGAATACATGCATATACTTCTATGCTACTTTGTCAAAAGATAACTCCTAACCAACGAACACATTATTTTAATAACAACAGAATTACAATTTACATCACTGAAATGTGTACTGCCTAGCCATTCACAGAAATTTTACAAGTTAAAACAAAACCTCAATATGGTAATTAATTTGCTTTACGTTCCCCCAAAGCATTATGAAAACAAACTGGAAGACCAAAGGCTCATCCTACAAAAAGCTCTAGAAAAAATTTCTGGTATACAGTTTCTAAGTATAAGCTCTAAGGATAAATTAGCTCCCTGATTCCTTACTCAAACATGAGTATGAGGAATTAGACATTAATGATAGAACAAATCAACCCTTTCAAGATCTCATCTTACAGTGACAGAACCGCCACTGCAAATACTTCAAGTAGGTGTATGAGGATCATAAAATGTTTTCCATCTATTGTTGGCCTGCTCTGAGGAAACACGTACCCACTAGACTAGGGGTTAACACACTACAGGTCTGCCACTTGTTTTGTAAACAGAGTCTCACTGGAGCACTGTCAGGTTCACAGTGGAGCTGAATAGATGCAACAGAAACCATAAAGCTAACAAAGCTGAAAACACCTCCCATCTGGCCTTCAGAAACAAGATGCTGGCCCCTACATTAGAACCAGCTTTCAGGACAAAGTTCATAGTCCTACTCCTACTTGAAACTCTTACAGGTTGTCCCCAGACCTCTAAACTAATTTCTCTAGG
Source organism: Homo sapiens (assembly GCF_000001405.40). NCBI lineage: Eukaryota > Metazoa > Chordata > Mammalia > Primates > Hominidae > Homo > Homo sapiens. Next base: position 125,478,029 of record NC_000003.12, read on the forward strand.
ATGTCATTTCCTCCTCCTCCTTCTTCTTCTTCTTATTATTATTACTATTATTATTATTATTATTATTTTGAGACGGAGTCTCACTCTGTCTCCCAGGCTAAAGTACAGTGGCACGATCTCAGCTCACTGCAATCTCTGCCTCTTGGGTTCAAGCGATTATCCCACCTCAGCCTCCCGAGTAGTGGGGATTACAGGCATGCACCACCACGCCCAGCTAGTTTTTGTATTTTTAGTAAAGACCATGCTGGTCAGGCTGGTCTCAAACTCCTGACCTCAAATGATCTGCCCACCTTGGCCTCCCAAAGTGCTGGGATTACAGGTACGAGCCACTGTGCCTGGCCCCCAAGTATTTTTTGAGCAGTCTGTGCAGTGTTGAATGTTTTTCTTTTCTTTTTTTTTTTTAAGTGGTTCCATCATCAAGTAAGGTTGGGAAACACTGAGACAATAAAATTTAACAGTTTTTTTTCTGTAGGACCTTTTAGACCTTTAACACCACATATGAATCATGACTGCTCAAGGGAGATACGGTTTGCAGTAGGGAACATCTTACAGGGTTAGCATTCCAGAGAATATATGATGGAAAATGTCATTCTAACACTAACTTTTCTAGATCCCTGTACTTTTAGATACCAAACCTCCTTCCTAAAAGCTGAGCATTCATCCTCTACTAAGATATTAAGCATGGAAGAAAAGAGAAGTTGCTGAAAAACCACTTAAGAAAAAAAAAAAACTAGAAGCAATGTGAGGGTACGATGCAGACTCTCTGAATGTTTGTCCCCCATCTGCACCTCCCACGAGAACTATTGCCTAATTTGTCTGGGTAATTTCTAGGCAACCAAAGGTCCACAAATTTTATCTCATTAATCCACAGTCCTTTCTAATACCCAGTTCTTGACTCTAGCCTAATAATTCTCGCAGGTAACTTTTATGAGAAGGTATCTTATAATTTATTCAAAGAGTCCAACGATACTCTTGAACAGTTAAACGGGAGATCAAGACAATATAAGACCTTCAGAAGAATTTTTTCCTTTATTGTATTTTTTCTGTACTGTCATGGAAATCTTGAAACATACAAAAAGCATATAGAACAGAAGGATATACCTCCATTTCTCAACACCCAGCTTCAGTAATTACTATATAGCCAAACTCATTTCTCCTAAAACTGCCCCCACTCTCCACTGCTCATCGGTGGACTCTTATTAAAACAAATTCCAGGCAATATATTTCATTTCAAGAGGATTCTGGCCAGGCATGGTGACTCATGACTATAATCCCAGCTCTTTGGGAGGCTGAGGTGGGCAGATCACTTGGGGCCAGGAGGAGTTCGAGACCAGCCTCGTTAACATGGTGAAACCCCATCTCTACTAAAAATAAAGATTAGCCAGGCATGGTGCTGCATGCCTGTAATCCCAGCTACTCAGGAGGCTGAGGCAGGAGAACTGCTTGAACCCGGGAGGTGGAGGTTGCAGTGAGCTGAGATTGTGCCACTGCACTCCAGCCTGGGTGACAGAGCGAGACTCCATCTCAAAATAATAATAATAATAATAATAATAACAACAAAGAGGATTCCAGATTCCAATCAGCATAAAATGTGACCTTACCTGGTATCCTAGTCTCTTTCAATGCCTTTGGCACAGGCATGTTCTAAGGTTCCTTCTAGGTTGCCACAAGAGACCAGAGCGGATGGTACATTTTCCAGGTACATTAATTTACTGAGAAGTATTTCCCTCTTTGCCTATTACAGCTGAACTATATGGTTAAGTATAATTATTATTCCTTGATTTCTAGTCCCTTTTGTCATGGCAGACTATTATCTGAAATTAGTTTATTTGGTAGAATTTAAGAGCACAGACACAGGATGGCCTAACACCTATAAACTATTTCACGGACCTTTAAAAAAAACATGAAAGAATATGATGTGTAGATCTAAAATCCTACACTTATTTACATTCCAGCACTGAAATGGCAGGCCTTTTGATAACATCCAAAACAACTATTCTATTACAAACCATGGAGAGAAAACAGGCTAAGTGAGTTGTTTATGACAGAAACCATTGCACATTTTTTTAAAAAGTGCAGTTTGGATGATGAACATATAAATTCAAATGCAAAAATCAGTTATTCATGGTAAATACCACCTACTACTTGAAAACAGAATGATTACATGAGAAGCACTTCCTTATGCATGTGCATCAAAAAGCTTTTGGGGACCACTTACAGCTCTGACTCGAAGAAGATGTGAGATGACAGACTGCAGTTCATCACTATAGTGCTTAAGGTCAGTAAATCTCCTGAAACAGGAAACAAATAAAACATCGTTTTTCAAATGAAAACAAGCAGTCAAAAACTGAAAGAAAAAAACAGTAGTTCCCGACAATAACAAAACTGATTCTATTTAACCATATGCTGGCCTTAAACATTTACACACCAATATAAATCCAAAAAACTCTAAAATAAAATGATATTTTCTGTTGATATTTTGAAAGTCAAGATATCACACTTCATAATTTACCTCGTGGAACTGAGATAGGTAAAAAAAATCTGTTGGTATGAAAAACTACTTTGAAAATACAAAACAGGAAAAACTTTAAGGAGCTAAAAGATACATTATGGTGCAATCATAAACTCATGGTCTCTAACCTCAATCTTAATTCTGCTCAAGTAATTTGCTTCCCTCATCTATTAACTGCCATTTTCCATAAGGACCAAAAACTTCTGATGCACCATCTGTCATTCTCCAAACAACCAAGCTTCACAGATAAACAAAAACCATCAGATGGGAACGACTCCCACCTCTACCTCCTGCCAATCAACTTACACACTTCCCCATATCTACATCATTTTTTCCCTCCCACTAGGATTTCTTCCCATCTAACGCTCTAGATTCCATTCCAGCTACACCCCATATTCCTGTTTCCTGACTTCCTATCTCTATAAACTTCTTCTCATCAGCATATCAATTAACTCAGGTCTCTCATAGATTAAAATACACACTCCCTTGACAACACACCCAGCTATTAACACCCTGTCAATATCCACCCCTTTTATAGCCAAGCTTTCACAAGGCATCACTTCCCCAGCAATAACCACTTCTTCCATTCCCATATACTGCACAGCCTATGAGAATCTAGCTTCTGCCTCCAGCACTATATAGTAGGGAAATATTCCTGACAAAGTCACCAACTATTTTCATGTTGTAATATCCAGTGATCAATCTTAGTTCTCCTCTTACTTGATCCTTTTGGCAATGCAACAGCTGACATCATCCTCCTCCTCAAAAATCTGTTTCCTTGTCAGTATTATTTTCTCATGGCTTTCATTTCACTCTCTGGTCACTCCTGAAGCTTCTTTTGTAGTACTCACTTCCTTCACCCATCTCTTATATCTCCAACTGTAGTCTGCAAAAAATTCCTGAAATCTTTTTTTTTTTTTTTTTTGAGACAGAGTTTCACTCTTGTTGCCCAGACTGGAGTGCAATGGCGCAATCTTGGCTCACCACAACCTCCGCCTCCCGAGTTCAAGCAGTTTTCCCGCCTTAGCCTCCCGAGTATCTGGGATTATAGGCATGTACCACCACACCCGTCTCTCTTTAGTAGAGACAGGGTTTCTCCATGTTGGTCAGGCTGGTCTTGAACTCCCAACCTCAGGTGATCGCCTGCCTTGGCCTCCCAAAGTGCTGGGATTACAAGCGTGAGCCACCATGCCTGGTCGAAATGTTTCTTAAAAACACTACTGATGGTCTCTCAGAGGGATGTGAATACATCAAGGTCCTCGTGGGACTCAGGAATCTGAATCTGAATTTTATAGCTCATCCACAGGATTCACATGCTGGTAGTCCTCAGGTTATACTTTATTTTTCTTTCCTTCTTTTTTTTTTAAAGGCCCAGTACTGTGTCACCCAGGTTGGAATGCAGTGGCTTGATCCTAGCTCACTGCAGCCCTTGATCCACCTGCCTCAGCCTCCCAAACAGCTGAGACTACATATGGGCATCACCATGCCCAGCTGACCTCAGGTAGTTATACTTTGAAAACATCCTTAAAGTGCTGGCTTTCTTCAAGGTTCAGTCCTGGGTCCTCAGCTATCTTCCAATCAGTCTTTCAATCTATACATTCCTATGTGACTTGTCATTCACAAAGCTTCACGATTATGATCTACATATTGCTAAATTCCAAATTTCTACCATCAGCCCAAATCTCTCTTAACTCCAGATCTATAAAACCAACTGATTTAGTAGACATTTGTACTTGCTTCCATAGCCAAAGCTCAACCTATCTTCCACTACTCCTCAAATCTTTCCCTTGTGCTCCCTTGCACTCTAAAGAATGAAAACCTGAGTGCATCTGTATTTCCTTCTCCTCTCCTTCACCTCATACATTCCACTAATTGCCCAGTCTGTTGATTCTACCTCCTAAACATTGCCCCAATCCACTCACTTTTCTCTGGTCTCTCTGCCAATGCCCTAAATTCAGATTAGCATCATCATCTCTCACCAGTCCTCCTGACTGGCCTCCTAGCCCACTCCCACACTCCTCTAATCTACTGTCCACTCTGCTTGGATGATCTTCCAAAGTCCAAATCTATACCACCCCCTTGCTTTTAAGCAGCTTTCTACTGCAAAGGTTATCCGCTGATCCTGAGACAAAGTTCAAACTCTGTAATGTGGCTTAAAAAACTTTTCACAGTCCCCAAGTATTCAGTTACTGTGGTTCATTGAAATAAAGAGGCAGTGGTGAAGTTGAGGACATCAAATCACTAGATAAAATACTTAACCACTCTTACTCCCCCAGGGCAGTGTTTTTCAGCAAGGAAAATAATTTAGGGATAAAAGAGTTGGCAAGATTGGCTCCCAATTAAGTAGAGTACAAATCTCCCTTTATATCCAAGATGGAAGGTGGAAAATGTACACTTGCATTTGTAGGATAAAACTTTGAAGGAATATAAACCTAAAAACTAACATGGTGTTACTCTCTGGGGAGGGGAAATGGATAGAGAGGAACAGGAATGAGACTTTTCACTGTACAACTTTTCCGTACTTATCAATCTACATATATATCTGGTTAACCATAAGAATATATTATGTACTCCAAAACATTTAAATAAAATTAAATTTATATATAAATATATATAAATATGTATTTTATATAAATATATAAAATCTCAGATAACTGTGAGCGGCTTTCTTTACGTAGAGCCAGTTACAACTGAGCTGGTACAATTTTCCCTTAGAAGTTTTATGATTTGAACTTAAGTTTCAAGAGGCTAATACTTTGTTAAACTCTGATCAGATCTTCCTGTGCTGGGTCCCAGGAGCTAGAAATTCTAAAGATCAGGTCTTCTGGAGCTTCTCCAGAACTGATTAGGTCCCCTAAAAATGTTTCTTTGTCAGCTTCCATACTCAGGATCTGGCATGACTACAAAATTCTTAGCTGTCATATTTGGATATGAGAAATGTATAAGAATATAAACAGTAAGCCTCAGAATACTTAAATTAGGTGAAGCAGAGGTTTCTGGAGTTGAAAGGTCTTAACACCTTTGGTCACAGAACATAAAAGGCACACTAAAGTTTCTCTGTTTGATTAACACATTGGTACAATCTCTTGTGAGGGGAGAGGAGTGACAACACAAATCATCCCCAGGTGATCACATCACCAGAAAGTCAGAGCTAAAAGATTCTAAACACCTAGGGGACAGAGACAGATGTGCACCTTTGAAAAAAATCACAATTACTGGGAAATCAGAAGACCTAAAGGTGAAGAGTGAAAAATTCATCAAGTCTTAGATAACAATGTATGTTTAAGAAATAAAGGAATGAATTTTCTGAAAACGAGGGTATAACTTCTTAGCCCAAGTCAAAATCTAGAATGTCTGCATATTAAAATGAGGAATCTTATCATAAATGATTAGGTGTTCTTAGAGAAATATTAAAGACTAAAAATCATATATAACGTCAGAATGTTGCAGTTTCACTTGAAAACAGGGAGTTTAAAAAGAGGACAGTCCATACTAGGAAGATGGTGACATAAAACTTCCCTCCTGAAATACTATCTATCTAAAATCCCTGTCTTAGAGACATGCAAAAGTGAACGTGTAAATGCAGACTCTGATAAGACTCTAGTTTGAGGTTGTCTATATCCAAACCCAATATGTCCTATGGCCTGAATCAGCCATATTTTCTATTCTCCTCAAAGTACACCTATTGCCATTACAGGCTTTATGCTTCCCTTTATTTTCCATATTCTTTTTGAGAAGGGGTCTAGTTCTATCACCCAGCCTGGAGTGCAGTGGCACGATCTTGGCTCACTGCAACCTCTGCCCCTTGAGTTCAAGTGATTCTCCCATTTCAGCCTCCCGAGTATCTGGGATTACAGGTATGTGCCACCACACCTGGTTAATTTTTATACTTTTAGTAGAGACGGGGTTTCACCATGTTGGCCAGGCTGCCCTCGAACTTCTGACCTCAAGTGATCTGCCCACCTTGGCCTCTCAAAGTGCTGGAATTACAGGTGTGAGCTACCATGTCTGGCCTTATTCTCCATATTCTTTAACATACTTTTAGTAAGTAAGCCTGGACAGGTGCCTCTCCTAATCAGATGTCATCCATTTCTCAAGACTCATGTTGAAAAGACCCTCCATCAAGGCTTTTTGAGAATGCTTCTCTCCAATCTTAAAGGCAAAAACATGGCTAGGTGCAGTGGCTCACATATGTAATCCCAGCACTTTGGGAGGCCAAGGTGGGAGGATCACTTGAGACCAGCCTGAGCTGGTGAGACCCTGTTTCTGCAAAAAGTACAAAAAATTAGCCAGGCCGGGTGGATCACCTGAAGTCAGGAGTGCGAGACCAGCCTGGCCAACATGGTGAAACCCCGTCTTTACTAAAAATACAAAAATTAGCTGGGCGTGGTGGTGGGCGCCTGTAATCCCAGCTACTTGGGAGGCTGAGGCAGAGAGAATTGCTTGAACCCGGGAGGCGGAGGTTGCAGTGAGCCAAGGTCACGCCACTGCACTCCAGCTTGGCGAGAGTGAGACTCCATCTCCAAAAAAAAACAAAAACAAAAACAAAAAACCAGCCAGCCAGGCTTGATGGCACTTGCCTATAGTCCCAGTTACATGGGAGGCTGAGATGGGAGGATCATTTGAGCCTGGGAGGTCGAGGCTGCAGTGAGCTGAGATCACACCACTGCACCCCAGCCTGGGTAACAGAGCAAGACTTTGTCTCAAAAACAACAAAGGCAAAAACACAGCTTGGGGTATAACTTATCTATTTTATATGGCTTTCCTTTTTTTTTTAGACAGAGTCTCACTCTGCCACCCAGGCTGAAGTGCACTGGCACAATCTCGACTCACTGCAGCCTCCACCTTCCTGGTTCAAGTTATTCTCGTGCCTCAGCCCCCCAAGTAGCTGGGATTACAGGCATGTGCCACCATGCCTGGCTAATTTTTGTAGTTTTGGTAGAGACAGGGTTTCACTATGTTGGCCAGGCTGGTCTTGAACTCCTGGCCTCAAGTGATCCGCCTGCCTTGGCCTCCCAAAGTGCTGGGATTAGAGACATGAGCCACCGTGCCCGGCCTTATTTGGAGTTCATATTTGCATACGGCTGTAGTTTTCTCTACCTAGCTATTATACTGAAAATAAATCAAGCCATACAGATTGTCTTATGCTTCTTTACAACTTGTGCAACTATTACCTAAGATAAAGCCCTGAAAGAAAAGAAACTGTAGTCTGAGTGACTGTGAGAAATCATAAATGACAGTCCACTCCCCACCCTCCTCTTCTTCTAGTTTCTACACTTTGGTTCTTGCCTCCCTATCTGTAAGCATTCTGTTTTTTTGAGACGGAGTCTTGCTCTGTTGCCCAGACTGGAGTGCAATGGCGCGATCTTGGCTCACTGCAACCTCCGCCTCCCGGGTTCAAGCAATTCTCCTGCCTCAGCCTCCTGAGTAGCTGGGATTACAGGTGTGCCCCACCACACCCAACTGATTTTTGTATTTTTAGTAGAGACGGGATTTCACCATGTTGGCCAGGTGGGTCTCGAGCTCCTGACCTCGTGATCCACCCACCTCGGCCTCCCAAAATGCTGGGATTACAGGCGTAAGCCACCGCACCTGGCCTCTGTAAGCATTCTTAATACGATGTACCTCGAGCTCCTTGAAGAAAACTCACTATATAGATTTTTCTCTATCCATACTTCCTGCCCCAAACTCAGCATAACAAAATGATATAACCTGATATTTAGAAGCTCGAGGAATAACCTCAACGTATCACAACCTCAATTATCTAACTGGTTTTCTTTTAAAAGAAAAAAACTATCACTTTACGTATAAGTTAAGTTACATAGATTTTTTTTTTTCAGCCAAGAAAAACTGGCCACATTAGATGAAACTTCTACTATGCAATGTAGCACAGTACATGAGTGGTTAGTATTGTTTATTTCTACTAGGGACAGGAGATTGCCGGGCGTGGTGGCGGGTGCCTATAGTCCCAGCTACTCAGGAGGCTGAGGCAGGAGAATGGCGTGAATCTGGGAGGCGGAGCTTGCAGTGAGCTGAGATAGCAGCACTGCACTCCAGCCTGGGCAACACAGAGAGACTCCGTCTCAAAAAAAGAGAGTACGTTACTTATATAATCTGGTCAGTTTACCACCTAGATTTTGACTTAGTGGGTTTAGTTTATTTGCAACAATATAAGATGCTCAATAAATGGAGATAGACCTTGGGCACATCTCTTTTAAGAAAAATATACAAGCCAGGCACAGTGGCATCCACATGTAGTTCCAGCTATTCTAGAGGCTGAGGCGGAGGATTGTTGAGCCCAGCAGTTCCAGACCAGCCTGAGCAACACAGTGAGACTGCATCTCAAAAATATATATATATGTGTGTGTATACATATATATGTATATGCAATCCAATATGCAAAAGAAAGCATTTACAGAGTACCTAAGGCCACATAAAAGTAGAAGACTCCAGGCCCTCCCACTCACTTGCTCTTAACAGTCTAGTTTGAGGAAAGATAAACATGAATGAAGCGAGTACTAGAAGAATCACTTTGTAATCCCTCTAAAACAATCTTTCTGGTTTTCTGAATTTTAGGAAATAACAAAACTATTTTAGTAATATATTTTAATAATATAAAAAATCTATTGTAACAGCTAGATCTAGAAGAGATTCTACATATTAAGAATCTGATATAACAATGACCAATATACACAATTATCCAGAATTTAAGACAAACAAATCCTGTTACTAATTACACAGCAATTATACACTTTAGCAAGAACATAAGGGCAAAAAAACTGCCTTGGTGACATTATTGGTCATATTAAACTTAAAATTCTACACACAATATGGATAGTAAATAAAATTCAGCAGTTCAGAAAACCTGGCTGGGTCAGAAAAGGGAGGAAAAACATTCAATTGACAAAATATTTTTCATTCAACTGAAAAATACTAATTGACAAAATACTAGTATTAATCAAAAATATTATCAAAATATCAATCAAAAACGATTCTCTAATGGATGTACAGCCACCAAAGTCATACACTTAGCTTACTAAGTTTTCCAGAGCTTTTTTTGAGGGTGACTTATAATTTTAGTTCTTAATCTAGAGAACACCTCTTATATACCATGCATGTTAGTATAATACTTATAAAAACCTCAATGGAACCATAGATGCAAATTAAGTGAAAGAAGCCAATCTCAATGTTGACATACTGTATATGATGTGACATTCCAAAAAAAAAAAACAAAACTATAGCGATAATAAAAAGATCAGTGATTCCCAGGGGTTGAGGGAGGAGATGAACAGGTGCAGTAGAGAGGATTTTTAGGACAGTAATACTATTCTGTATAAAATGATAATGGTGGATACACGTCATTATCCATTTGTCCAAACTCAAAAACTGCCCAACACCAAGTGTGAACCCTAACATAAATGATGGTCTTTGCTGATAATGCTGTTTCAATGTAGGTTCATCAACTGTAACAAACACAGCTCTCTGGTGTGGGATGCTGATAGTTAGGGAGGCTGTGACAGGTCAATGGGGAGGGGTGTGGAGAGAAGGTATTTGGGAATTCTCTGTATACTCCACTCAATTTTGCTAACTCTACTAAACCTGTAACTGCTGTAAAAAAAAAAATAGTCTATTAAAAAAAAAAAAAAAAAAAAAGGCCAGGCATGGTGGCTCACACCTGTAATCCCAGAACTTTGGGAGGCCAAGGCGGGTGGATTGCTTGAAGTCAGGAGTTTGAGACCAGCCTGGCTAACACGGCAAAACCCCATCTCTACTAAAATACGAAAATTAACTGGGCGTTGTAGGGGGTGCCTATAATCCTAGCTACTCGGGAGGCGGAGGCAGGAGAATTGATTGAACCCGGGAGGCAGAGGTTGCAGTGAGCAGGGATCACGCCACTACACTCCAGCCTGGGCGACAGAGCAAGTCTCTGCCTCAAAAAATAAAAAAATGAAAATGAAAAAACTCAAGTTACCATCACAACCTCCTAATTACCAAAATTTAAAAATATTCATTTAGATTTTATATTCAAAATTTATATGAAAAATCAGGGGCATTTTGTTAATATGTTATGGTTTATAAAGTCAGGCATAATAGGTCATCAGAATATGCAGACCCCACCTTTGTCTGATAAGAATTTACACAATGTAGAAATTAGTGCTGAAGGATTCACTAGAGAAATTCTAACAGATCTCATAAATTTGGTCCTCCAAAACAAAAAAGCCTCATCTGCCTAAGCACATATCCAATTAAAAAACTCTAACTGAACCAAATTGCCAAGTAAAGGTCCATATAATGTAGAGTTTGAATTATCCACCAAATTTAAAGATTAAGCAAAACCAAAATCTTAAATACATAGGTCCCACCCCATGTTAAGTAATTTCTGAATACACTGGCTTCTTTTAATATGGAAATGCTCTCACAAATACTAGCTGATATTAATAAAATCAAGTATTTGTCATATACCTTCGTGAAATTTTCTTGGTATACAAACTAGACGGTTCATTATTAAGTATATGTAAAAAGTATATAATTTTCTTATCTTGAGCTGTGCATATTTAACAAGCAAAATCATATAAGGAAAACTATAAAATTAAAATTACTTTTCTCATTTTTCTGATATCTGCAACACTTAACAAACCCTTCTAGAAAAAAGCAATGGTTTAATTTTATAAAACTTCAGTCACAATCATACCCCCAATCAAGTTATCAAATTTCAAATTCAGTTTTAGACTTTAAAAGGATTTCACTAAATGTGAATATGTAAACTATTTAGCAAATAAAGTGCATACATTCAGAAATGAAAAATTAAATAGATTGATAGCACCATTCAAAACAACATTGTAACTGTTATTAAAACAAAACCTTACTTGTCTGGGTTTTTCACTCTGAATGTTGCATTAAGCGCTTTTAACCTGGAGTCTGCCTGGAAAAAATAATTTGTTCACTTAATACAATTACATTTCAGGGTATAAAATTCAAACAATTTTACTTTCCCTTTAGAATTAAGATGCTCAAGTACAGTTTTCTTCATATCAATTGTTGTAAACACATTAAACATGCCTAAAAAAATAGCTTAGTAATTATTTTTGAAAACACTACAAAAACATACTATAAAATAGACTGAATACATGGCATTCAATGGTACCAAAGTAAAACAACTGTACACACCAACCAATACACGAACAGGCATATAGCTCTGCATTATTAGAATTCGGAAGAGGTCATGTGAAAACAGTAGTTTTTCTCTAGGCCAAGAAAGGCAATGATACGTATATATAAACTAAATGCAACTACTGCTTTCATGGCCGGGCACAGTGGCTCATGCCTGTGATCCCAGCACTTTGGAAGGCCGAGACAGGAGGATCACTTGAGGTCAGGAGTTTGAGACCAGCCTGGCCAACATGATGAAACCCCCATCTCTACTAAAAATACAAAAAAATTAACTGGGTGTGATGGCGCGTGCCTGTAATACCAGCTACTCGGGAGTCTGAGGCAGGAGAGTCGCTTGAACCTGGGAGGCGGAGGTTGCAGTGAATTGAGATCATGCCACTGCACTCCAGCCTGGACGACAGAGAGAGACTCCATCTCAAAAAAGAAACTACTGCTTTAGAGTCTGCATCTACTGAGGGTAGTTCCAAAGCAAATGTACATTGGTTTTTCTCATTTTCATAATCTATATTTTAGAAGAAAGAATATAGAAACACATGTACTAGGCCGGGCGCGGTGGCTCACGCTTGTAATCCCAGCACTTTGGGAGGCCGAGGCAGGCGGAGCACGAGGTCAGGAGATCGAGACCACGGTGAAACGCTGTCTCTACTAAAAATACAAAAAATTAGCCAGGCGTGGTGGCGCGTGCCTGTAGTCCCAGCTACTCCGGAGAGGCTGAGGCAGGAGAATGGCGTGAACCCGGGAGGCGGAGCTTGCAGTGAGCCGAGATCGTGCCACGGCACTCCAGCCTGGGCGACAGAGTGAGACTCTGTCTCCAAAAAAAAAAAAAAAAAAAAAGAAATACATGTACTAAGTAACACTCTACTAAATAAAACAAGCTAGATTACAGCAATTACTTTCTAGCTAGCAGAAAATGTTGTAAGACAACACAACTTTTTAACTATTTTCTTCACTTATTTCTAGATAATTACTCTCAAAGAAGAAACTGAGGGATAAATACTAAATAATAATTTCACTGCATAAAATGTATACGTAACACATCCAAATCCTGTCCTGTCCTAAATTCTCATTAAAAAAACAAAAAAAAAAAGACAACCAAACAACTTTTCTAACCAAGGTAGAAGAACTATTAGGGTTCATAAAAGGTAGCTCAATCAGGAATCAATTTCTAAATGTGGTCTGGTTTTTAAAATCCCACCTTGAAAATTTTACACTATTACAACTTCCGAACCATAATTACAAATACTGTTAATGAATAAACAAACAAAACAAAAATATTACTAAGGCTTCCCAGGTTACTTGGCTAAGAAAATAAAAACAAATATAACAAATATACTACTCACAAGTTCAGCCTCCTAGAACTCCAGACCAAAAGAGATTTAAAGGGCTATCTAAAGAATATCTAAAGTAGTTTATTTTGATTTTAGGGAATTCTCTTATGGAATTCTCCTATTTCTAAAATCAGTATTTCACAAATTCTGGATCCTTCTTACATCTCAAGGAAAAATTAGCTAATATACATCAAAGTCCTTATAAATAAAAACACCTATGAATTTAAGGTATACATTAAAAATCACTAAAAACCAAAGGCTCTTGTAAGTGTTCATGACTTCAGTCACATGCAAAATGTGATTCTTTAAATGAGGATGAAACTACATAAAACACTAAGAAAAAAATATTCATTTGTATCTTTTCTTGAATCTCATGCTTTTTAACACCAGCAATTTATTTTTTACTTTTAAAGTCACCAATTTACCAATTTTTTAAAAGTCATATAAATGTAAAGGGTCACCATTCTAACCTTTGCTAACCAAATGTTTTGTCAGATCAGGTCCATCTCCACACCCAACTCAATCTGCTCATTTCACAAGATTACATAAAAAAGAGGAAGCTGACTAAAATGTCACCAAACCGCTGGATCTCTGAAAAACTACCTGGACTGTTCCAAATCTGATAGGTTATCGCCCACCTAATCAGATTCCCCATTCAACACCTAAAGATGCCCCTTAATTCATTATTGTTTCCTATGATCCTATTTTACTTCCTTTAAAACAGCATTATCTGAAATCATCTTGTTCACTTGATTCTTGGCTGTCCGTTAAGAATATAAGAGCCATAAGCCGGGCACGGTGGCTTATGCCTGTAATCCCAGCACTTTGGGAGGCTGAGGCGGGTGGATCACGAGGTCAGGAGTTTTAAACCAGCCTGGCCAATATGGCGAAACCCTGTCTCTACTAAAAATATAAAAAATTAGCCAGGTGTGGTGGCACATGCCTGTAATCCCAGCTACTCAGGAGGCTGAGGCAGGAGAATCGCTTGAACCCGTGAGGCAGAGTTTGCAGTGAGCCGAGATCGCGCCACCGCACTCCAGCCTGGGTGACAGAGAAAGACTCCATCTCAAAAAAAAAAAAAAAAAAAAAAAAAAGAATATAAGAGCCATAAAAAGGCACAGTGTGAAGGTGGCCCTTGGACTGTACAAAGGCTGCTGTGGCAACACTTTTACCTGCTTTATCTTCCCGCACACATTACCTAGTAAAGCACACCCAGTCTGGGCCTCCCTCTGAAGGAGCATTCCTCTTCCTTGGCCTCTGGTGACTTCACTGCAGGTTTCTTATCATCACTAATGTCTCAGCTCAAATGTAAGCTTTTTAAAGGAGGGTGACCATGTGGCCTGGTTTGCCCAGGAGAGTCCTGGTTTATAACTGTTGTCCTAATCTTTTTTTTTTTCAAGACAGAGTCTTGCTCCGTCACCCAGGCTGGAACACAACATGTGGTCCCCATCTTAAATGTCCCTATTTCCTCTCTAAAGGGGTCCCATTTGGATAATAAACTTTATGGTCACTCATCTTAGGGTAACCCCTGAAAAATAATCCCTGCTGTCATATTCCCCAACAAGGACGATGCTTTATGTCCTTTATACTACTTATCACTATTTTAAAGTATCTTATTTTTTATTTAAATGCTAACTTAATGTCTCCAATCACTAAAATATAAGCTCCACAATAACACAGAGTTTATGAGTATTTCCAGCTCATTCACTACTGTATCCACAACGCTTAGAAGAGTACCTCACACTGTAGGCACCAGCATTTGGAATCTCCACATTGGATCTCTCAGAGTTCCTGTGCAATAACAAGATTAACAGAGATCCTAACTAAGGGCCCAGACCTTGGCTCTGGTAGTCCTTGCCCCAAGGAAGAGGCAGGGTCCAGGGTTCTTATGAATCAGCCTAAATTCATTTAAGGATTGGGTATTCAGAACAATGCTTTCATGACTAACTATGTTAACTGAGTTAAAACGTTACTTTTATACTAAAGCAACTAGTTTGTATGTTCATTACTCTAGGGATAAACCCTTTGCTCTTCTTTCACTGAATTAAGTAAAATGAGTATTTATATTTTGTGTATGTATTTATTTTTAAATAGAAACAGAGTCTTGCTATGTTACCCAGTCTGGTCTCAAACTCCTGGGCTAAAGTGATCCTCCTGCCTCAGCTTCCCAAGTAGCTAGAACTATAGGAACATGCCACCAAGCCCAGATTGAGTATTTATATAAATATTCCACCCCCCTAAAAAGGAGAAATGTCAATAACCAGTAATGATGAAAAAACTGGTTGCTCATGCTTATGTTAAATAGAACACAGATAAAAAGAAACTAAACTTTGGCCAGGCGTGGTGGCTCACACCTGTAATCCCAGCACTTTGGGAGGCTGAGGCAGATGGATCACGAGGTCAAGAGATCAAGACCATCCTGGCTAACACGGTGAAACCCTATCTCTACTAAAAATACAGAAAAATTACCCGGGCATGGTGGTGGGCGCCTGTAGTCTCAACTACTCGGGAGGCTGAGGTGGGAGAATGGCTTGAGCTGGGGAGGTGGAGCTTGCAGTGAACCGAGATCACACCACGGCACTCCAGCCTAAGTGACAGAGCGAGACTCCGTGTCAAAAAAAAAAAAAAGAAAGAAAAAAAGAAACTAAATTTTATGATTATCTTTCTGGGTGTAATAATCACTCTCAAAAATCTTACGAAAATATTGCCAGCCAGGCAACAGTGGCTCACGCCTGTAATCCCAGCACTTTGGGAGGCTGAGGCGGGCAGATCACAAGGTCAGGAGATCGAGACCATCCTGGCTAACATGGTGAAACCCCGTCTCTACTAAAAAATACAAAACAAAAAATTAGTCAGGCATGGTGGTGAGCGCCTGTAGTCCCAGCTACTCAGGAGGCTGAGGCAGGAGAATGGCGTGAACCCGGAAGGCGGAGCTTGTAGTGAGCAGAGATTGCACCACTGCACTCCAGCCGGGGCGACAGAGCAAGACTCCATCTCAAAAAAAAAAAAAAGAAAATATTAATCTAGTACGCCAAAACTACAGACAAAATATGTCTGAGAAAAGGAAAATTAAAGTAAGATAACATTTCAATTTGAGGACAACAATCCAAGAGCCAAGGTCAAATATTCTTATAAGATATGACTATTTGGTCTCATTCAGAATGACCTCATGTTCACAGAAATAAAGCTTTCAACACTTCCTTTAACAACCATCTCTGCAAATATTAATTATATAATTAATAAGCAAGAGAGGTAATATGGGATGGTAATTAAGGAGGGCTTTCAGTTAGTCTAGACTTGGATTCAGCCTCTATCACTTGTAATTATGTGACCTTGGCTAAGTCACATTCTAGAGTTCCTCATCTAAAAAATGGGAATATTAACTCACCTCAAAGGTACTGAGGCAATATTGAGCAAAATAAACATAGTATAATTATAGTATAGTGCTTAGCACATAGTAAGCATATATGATTATGGTAATACTCAGATAAGAAACTGTTTTAGATTCTAAAAAAAGTTTTCTTCTTTTTTACCGTTTTTGACAATCTTTCTCAAATTATCTTCCTGAAAATAGTTTTCTTTATCGCCTTATAGCAACAGTTGTCAAGTTTTAGGCTAATGGGATGTACGTCTGGGATGAATTCAGTATTTTGAACAAACAATCCCATCAACTGAGTTACATGCAGTCCGCTGACCACATACTGAATTAAGAGTGCACAAGCAAAATTCTACTTTTTCTTGAGGCCTCCAGTTAACCATTACAAACAATTAATACTGAACTCATCTATGATACAGTGAAGTCCTAGGGGTTACAGGTGGGTAGGGATTTTGCCTCACGCCAAATGTACCCATTCTGCGATGTGTGACTCACATACCACTGCTACCTCCTTTTCCGCTATCAGGCTCAGCTGTCAATTGTCACTACTGTCACAATGTGCCTGTCTCCACTCACTTTTTAATCCTCTGCTAAAATAGGCTGTAACCTAAAAAACAGCAAAATTTGTCTGAATACCTATAATAAAATTAATGGGTCTGCTACAGGAAGACCAAAGTATAGTAGTAAAGTATAGCAGGAAGCCATGTTACATCCCCTTGAACATCTCAGAAGTCAGTTTTGCTTAAGTCCCAGCTTTCAACTGTGATCAGATTAGCTGTAACTGCCAAACATATGACCTCCAGATAAGTGAAATGTGATACACTCATTCTCTCTTTATATATATATATATATATATATATATACACATACACACACACACACGTATGTTATTTACATATGATTGTGGACATTTGTATGATGTACACATGTATATGAGGCTATGCAAAAAGGTCCCATTTCCCTGATGGGAGGAAGGACTTAAAACAAGAAACATCCACAACAAAATAAGGAATACAGAGAGACACATGGGTTTCCGAATTCTCTCCATCAATTTTATTTCTGGCTCACTACATTAGAAGTCTGATGTTTTGAATTATTAATTCTGTATACTGATATTACCTTTCAAATACTTTTCAAAAGTACAATACATAAGGCTCCCCCACAATGAAACATTCTATCTAAATACTTAAGCAGCACCTACACATAAGATTCAAGGCACTGGTAAATAGCAATTTTATAATGATGGAGAAACTCCAGAGTTTTCTCAGAATCACTAAAGTTACGGCCAAAAACTGTATTCAAAGACAAAAACTGATAACTATTAACTGCAGTAAAGACTTAATGACTAGAATTTTTAAATTTTTTGTTATATAAAGAGAATTCACTAAAATGATTGTATTTTAATCTTTTCCTTGTTAGCTTTTAACATATCAAACTATTTTTCAGAAAACTCTATCTAAACATAAATCGGTTTTTAAACTTCCAAGTTATTTCAGATCCATCCCTAAACTCAAATTCTACCATTCTCTCTGAGTGTTATAAAGTGATGAATTACAGCCAAGAAAATTCTAATTGTTTCAGTAGAACTGTCAACTAAATATTTATAGCTAGGCACAGTAAAACTAGCACTTCGGGAGGCTGAGGAGAGAGAATCGATTGAGCCCAGGAGTTCGAAACTAGCCTGGGCAACATAGTGAGACCTCATCTCTACAAAAGAAAAATTTTAAAATTAGCTAGGTATGGTGGCACGCGCCTGTAGTCTCAGCTACTTGGGAGGCTGAGGCAGGCGGATCGCTTGAGTCCAGGAGTTCAAGGCTGCAGTGAGCCATGATCACACCACTGCACTCTGGCCTGGGTGACAGAGCAAGACTCTGTCTCAAAATCATAAAAACTCCAAAATATTTATAAATTAGAATCAGTTTATGACAGAACTGGTTTATCATATTTTCTCTGCAGAAAAAAATTTTCCTCCTTCTAGTCTGTTTTGTGCCAAATTTCAAATATCTATGGGCCAATGCATGGGAAGTGTTTTTTAAATTACTGTAAAAAAATTTTCTTCTTCTTGTCTAGACATATTATATTGAACTTTTGGTACTGTATTATCATGTGAGTCATTGAACAATTTATATTATGTTATATATCAATTTATATTCTGTTAGTCTACTTACCTATTCAGTTTACACCAGAGATGAAAACTTTAAAAAGTTTGTAATAACCTTTGTTGTATTTCTTTTAGGGAAGAAATAAACAGCAGCATAGAACTCAAGTGTCCAGCTTACCACTACTAATGCTCCTTGATTTTCAGATCATCATCTCATTCCCAAACACTAATTCTAATGACTAAATTTAAAAAGCTGTTACAAAAACTAAATAATCCTGTACCACTAACAGATAAAACTTAGAACTATTTAAAAATGACTCCTTTGTCCCCATTTCAAACTGACCACCATGTCTCAACAGACAGAAGAAGCATGACTAAGGGCTTATCTTTTAGACTGCTAAGGTTGGACTCTTTCATATGTGATAGAGTGAGCAACTGTCGGGGGCAGGGATACGAATGGAAACAGGACAGAAGAAAAAAAGAGGCAAGGTATAATACTAGTACACTGGGGAAAATCTACAACTTGTATTTAAATTACTGCTTCATTACTATAAACACTAACTAAAAAAAAAAAAAAAAAATTCACTGTTACAAAATGTTCTTTCCCTGTAGAATAAATTTGCCCATTATAGTCTCATAAGTAACTAAAATTACACAAATCAAAAGTGAATTGTAGTGTTTCTTTGAAAACCTTACCAATGATATTTATTGTAAGACGATTTCCAACATTCATTTATTCAATAAATACCAAGTTCCCAATGAGTGCATGGCACCATGCTGGGAACTGTAAAGGAACATGGCAAATTTCATATAAATATTCTTACCTTCAGCTGAAACCCAGTTTCATTCACAGTCTCCTTCCAGTTACCTTCCTAAAAATTGAAGTTAATTTTAGAAATCATTATTGCAAAGCAAATATTCCAAATTAAGTAAATTAAATTTCTATCATTCTGTTCTTACTTCAGCAGGAATTGGAGAGAGAAGTTTAAAAAAATTTCTTTTCACTTCAAAATTAAACATTCAATCCAACTTCTAAAAGATTACCAAAGGTGAACCCAAGATTTTATAGATCTGGGCTTCAAAATACTGAAGACAAATTTTAATATTATTTAAATGATACCAAAAATACCATCATCAGTATCTTTAAATAGAAAAAGTTAACCAAAAGAATGACATAATCCATTAATTAGAAATTCATAACAAAAAATAAATTGCATATAAATTAATGAAAAGATCCTTAAAATAAGTATTCTACAATTTTTTTAAGAAACCCAAATTAAATGAATATTTTACTAAGACTAAATAAAAGAAAAATACCTGTGTTAAAAACAGATAGAAGATTTTGTCTCTACAAAGGATGGGATGTGAAGCAATCCTCAAGAGAAAGTTTTCTAAACCAATCCGTCGCCTCTCCACAAAATCTGGATCCATGTTGTCAGCAGAGAGTTTATGCCAAACAAATTCTGCCTAGGTAAACAAAATAATCATTAAGAATAGTCTCAATGCTGAATACTTCTAAACTACTGCCATTTCACTTCTTACCCGTTTTTCTGGCAGAGGTGGCACAACAATATGTGGATAGTAAACTAAAAGGTAGCTTCTCAACAACTCAAATTCACTATATCGCCGCCATAGTGAGTCTGTTAGGACACTCTGACCATCGGTATGTTCAACTGACCTGAAAAGGAACAGAACAACACTTGTTATTTTTTATAAACAAAAATACATACACATAAATACAATCACCTTTAAAATTATAACTACAGAATGATTATGAACCAGGCACTAAGTAAAGAACTTTTCATACATTTTTCTTTTTTTTCAAGACAGGGTCCCACTGTCGCTCAGGTTGGAGTGCAGTGGTGCAATCACCACTTACTGCAGCCTTCGCCTCCTGGGCTCAGGCAATCCTCCCACCTCAGCCTCCTGAGTAGCTGGGACCACAGGCACATGTCACCACATTGGCTAATACTTTAATTTTTTGTAAAGATGGGGTCCAGCTATGTTGCCCAGGCTGGTGTCAAACTCCTGGGCTTAAGCCATCCTCCTGCCTTGGCCTCATGTATTTTCATATTTAATCCTTATGACAACCCTGTGAGGCAGAGATTTATTATCCTCATTTTACAGATGAGGACACAGCTGCACAGTATATGCTCTGCCTATGATCACAAAGGTCTGTGGATAAAGCACTCAGATCCATCTGATTTCAAAGCCCTTACTCCTAACCACTTTCTTTCTGTTACAGAAAGCCTGTTTAAACATAAGAGAAACAGTTTTATTAGGAACACTCTAAAAGCCTTAATGCATAAATAATTGATTTTATAATATGATAAAATCTAGTTTAGCTAGTGTTTCATTAAATAAAAAGCATTTTTAACTTCACTTCTGCCAAAATGAGAGAATAACATTCACAACAAAGACCAAGACACCACAAAAACTTCAATTTAGGTTATTAATAAATCAGATTAATCCAAGTACCAAGAAATATCCAAAAGAACAAAATATTAGTTAGCTCTGAAAGAGTGGCGAAGAGGGGTCATAAAAATTCATCTCCAGTCTTACTTTTAATTATAAAGGGCTGGTAGGCAATGCCATGTCTCATACATACAAAAGTTCAATTTACTTTTGGCAGAAAGTTAAGGTAAAATCATATAAAGGATATTTTAAATATTTTGACTACTTAGGATTTCTTGCCAGCATAAGTAAGACCTATTAGGAAGCACCAGTCTTCTAAACATTATCAGGACCTTGCTATTTTCTAATTTGCTTGACAATAACCTGTTTGCCCTCCATGAAATGCACAAGGTGTATTTGTACATTAGGACAAAAAGTCACAGAACTTAAATCAGTCTCCAAATAGTCTAGAGAAAGTATTTACATCATGCCATGCTCAGCACAATAGATGCTCATTTTTATCATTTTTTAAGTTTGCTACTAAATTTATTCATTGCATATTAATAAAAATGAACCAAAATATGAAATGCAAAATTCACAAATGGCTCCCATGGCAAAAAAATAGAATTATTAAATCATAATTCATTTTAAAGAGTATACCTAGACATTAGTTATAACTAATACTATCCCAATTACAATGCCCAACTTCAGCTGAAAAATACTTGGGTTAATCTCAAGTTTCAAATTATTCAAAATCACTACCAACAAAACCCAAAACTTGTAAATAAGTGGATAAATAAAGCCTATAAGCAGTACACCTACAGGGCTGATAGAAGGTCTGCATAAGTGTTTAAAAAAAAAAAAAAAAAAAAACGCGGTTGGATGCGGTGGCTCACGCCTGTAATCCCAGCACTTTGGGAGGTCAAGGTGGGTGGATCAGGAGTTTGAGACCAGCCTGGCGAACATGGTGAAACCCCGTCTCTACTAAAAATACAAAAAATTATCTGGGCGTGGTGGCAGGTGCCTGTAATCCCAGCTACCCAGGAGGCTGAGACAGGAGAATTGCTTGAACCCGGGAGGCAGAGGTTGCACTGAGCTGAGATCGCGCCAACGCACTCCAGCCTGGGCAACAAGAGCGAAACTCCATCTCAAGAAAAACAAACAAACACCAAAAAAAAAAACCCAAAAAGGCAGGGTCTAGTAGTTTCATTATAAACTGACTAAAAGCACAGAGAAGACTTTCATTAGACCCCAAAACTACCTCATTTATCTAATCACTCAACAACTATTCAATAGTACCTAAATGGTTTTACTTGTAATATTTAACCCCCACAATGAAAATATGATCATTAACCATGTTTTACAAATTAAAAGAATTAATAACATACTGCCTTCCAAGCCATCAAGGCATTACTACCTATTCTAAAAGAGACATATATTTATTTTAAAAGAGTTCCTATTCAATGAAGAAGAACACATACAAAAATCTCTTGGGGAATTAAAAACCAGGGACTTTAGTTTTATTCAATCTTAGCCCACTAAACTATAACACTATAGAATAGGCACATATCAAAAATATCCTGTTTAACTTTAAACTTAAGAATTTACTGGCCAGGCGCAGTGGCTCATGCCTGTAATCCCAGCACTTTGGGAGGCCGAGGAGGGTGGATCACGAGCTCAGAAGATCAAGACGATCCTGGCTAACACAGTGAAACCCCGTTTCTACTAAAAAATACAAAAAATTACCCAGGCGTGGTGTTGCGCGCCTGTAGTCCCAGCTACTCGGGAGGCTGAGGCAGAATGGTGTGAACCCCAGAGGGTGGAGGTTGCAATGAGCTGAGATCGTGCCACTGCACTCCAGCCTGGGCGACAGAGCAAGACTCCGTCTCAAAAAAAAAAAAAAAAAAAAAAAAAAAAGAATTTACTTTGGAAGCTAGAGTTAACACTAATTTTTAAAGTATTTTTTAGGTGGCTAATTTACAAAAAAAAAAAAAATTACAGAAACAAAACCCTCTCGACAATTGGACTACAGACAGTTGCTAAATGGGCTTTCTACTTGTATCCAGAAGGTAGGTAGGTAGGTAAGCTACATGACAGAAGTTGAATTTCTAGTTAACATGAAGGGTCAATAATATTCATATTGTCCACAACTGTCTGCAAAACACTGAATTACAGAAACAATACTACATAATTAAATTAAGAAATTTGATGATTGCGGTTGATGAAGGTCAGTTAACCTTAGGGATAGTATAAAACAATCTATTCAAAATCAGTATTTCTCAAATCCCATGTCTATATGATGTGGAGTAGGGAAGAATTTCTTAAAACAGAAAAAACATAAATCATAAAGAGAAAAGACAGATAAACCTGTCTTAAAATGGAAAGCCTTTGTAGTTTAAAAGACAACAATCAAAATCATGGTCCAGCTGGGCACATTGGCTCACACCTGTAATTCCAGCACTTTGGGAGGAGGCCAAGGCAGGCAGATCACCTGAGGTCAGGAGTTCAAGACCAGCCTGGCCAACATGGCAAAACCCCATCTCTACTAAAAATACAAAAATCAGCTGGGTGTGGTGGTGCAAGTCTGTAATCCCAGCTACTTGGGAAGCTGAGGTGGGAGAATCACTTGAACCTGGGAAGAGGAGGTTGCAGTGAGTCAAGATCATGTCACGGCATTCCAGCCTGGGTGACAGAGCGAGACTCCACCTTAAAAAAAAAAAAAAAGGTCCATCGCCCATCTGTACTGAAAGCAGCTGGACCTTTAAATAAAAAATGTAAAATCCTGGGCCCTACCCCAAATCCTGCAGTTGTTTAACCAATTTTTCAAGTAATTCCAACATGTTTTTAAGTATAAAATCCATGTTTTAAAATAAATTTATATTGAAATATAGTTGTGAAAGTTGACTCAATAATCCTTTTGTGTGCCACACATTTATTGATGATCTACTTAAATATGTATTCACAGTCTAGCTATTACTGATGTATGGTCACTTCTAACTCCCAGGTTCAAATTAGAACTGGGCTACAGAAGAAAACAATGATCCTTTATTTATTTCAAAGTCAAGTACAAACATTATTAAGTTATTCCAGATTATCCAAATCAAGGTTCTCTCCTAGCAGTAAAAGTAATCAATACCTATGTGGGTGAAAAAACAGGCATATACTAAATATATCCTTTTTCATTGTAAACTTAAAATTTACTTAGAAGGCTACAGCTAACACTGTTTTCTAAAGTATTATTTTTAAAGTGGCTAATTTAACTTAAAAAACAAAAAAACAGAAACAAAAATCCTCTCACAGGGCCATGATCTTTAAAAAATAACCTTACAAATCTCTGGGATACATAAACATACATATGTCATGAAATGACCTAAGTTTGAAAAGAACCACATTACCTCTCTCATTTCCTAAACTTCTTACTGTATAAAAATTTTCTTTCTTTTTTTTTTTTAGAAGATTCTTTTCTCTCTTTTTCTTTCTTTCTGGTAGAAGGAAAACTAAATTTTCAGAATTGTCTGTAGACAATCTTCACCAAGATTTAAACTTTTATTTTAGGCAGAAACACAGACCTGGAAGAAGCCTTGAAAAGTCACAGGGTTCAGCACTAAGGCAAGCTCACAGGTAAAGCCTATGAAAATGGTAGGTTAAAATTTTTTTTCTTAAAAAAGTATTAACATTGGCCGGATGCGGTGGCTCGTGCCTGTAATCCCAGCACTTTGGGAGGCCGAGGTGGGTGGATCACGAGGTCAGAAATTCGAGACCAGTCTGGCCAACATGGTGAAACCCCATCTCTACTAAAACTACATGGTGACGGGCGCCTGTAATACCAGCTACTTGGGAGGCTAAGGCAGGTGAATCACTTGAACTCGGGAGGCAGGGTTTGCAGTGAGCCGAGATCGCGCCACCGCACTCTAGCCTGGGTGACAGAGTGAGACTCCATCTCAAAAAAAAAAAAAAAAAAGTATTAACATTAAAACATTGTTATAACACTTAACTTGGTTTGGTAGTTTTTTTTTTTTTTCTTTTTTTGAGACAGCCTCTCGCTCTGTCACCCAGGCTGGAGTGCAGTGGCAATCTCAGCTTACTGCAATCTCCACCTCCCAGGTTCAAGTGATTCTCCTGCCTCAGCCTCCCGAGTAGCTGGGACTACCACACCTGGCTAATTTTCATATTTTTAGTAGAGACGGGGTTTCGCCATGTTGGCCAGGGTGGTCTCAAACTCCTGACCTCAGGTGATCTGCCTGCCTTGGCCTCCCAAAGTGCGGAGATTACAGGCATGAGCCACCACGCCCAGCTAGGTTTGGTAGTCTATAATTTTACCGGCTATCAACAATTCTCTCATATCTATTTGTTTTAATTGAAAGCATTTCTGCTCAATCTCTGCAGACAGAAAAGAAATAGTACACTATTCTTTATATAAATTGTTAATAACTGACAACAACAAATTGAGTCTTCCCTTGCCTTTCTTTAGACAAAACAACTCTAATTCCTTTAGCTTTTCCCTTAGGAGGTAAAAGACAACTTTTCTGGTGAGTTTTTATTTCCTACTCCATAATTTGTCTTTTCTATTTTTACTCACCAAGTTCTTTTTCTTTGTTTTTTAAAGGTGTCTACTTCCCTTTATTCTTAATTTACTCCAAGTTCTAAAGCACCAATCTCAATGTTTCTGTTTGTTAATTTTTTGTAACTCCCAACTGTCCTAAGAGGATTCAGACCTTATTCTCTACTCCTAGAATTCTTTGTTAACCATTTCCACCTGCCCAAGTTCACTTCTACATGCCAGAGAACCTGGTATTCTTTTACAGAATTGCACAGGGATTCTAAGACCAAGGAATCCTCCAAAGCATGTATCGTTATTTGATACATGTTATTTATTCCAGATTCCAAAAGTATTCCACTAACCTCCCCTCTCCCCACAAAATAAATTCATTAAAATATAGCTATCTACCAAGAGTATCACAGCAAAAGATACAGCTGTTTACCCATTAAAAGATAAAGACACAGGGCTGGATGCAGTGGCTCACACGAGTAATCCCAGCATTTTGGGAGGCTGAGGCAGGAGTATCACTTGAGCCCAGGAGTTTGAGACCAGACTGAGCAACAGAGTGAGACCCCATCTCTACAAAAAATTTTAAAACTGCCAGACACAGTGGCTCACACTTGTAATCCGAACACTTTGGGAGGCCGAGGCGGGTGGATCGTTTGAGATCAGGAGTTTGAGACCAGCCTGACCAACACGGTGAAACCCTGTCTCTACTAAAAACACAAAAAAATTAGCTGGGTGTGGTAGCACATGCCTGTAATCCCAGCTACTTGGGAGGCTAAGGCAGGAGAATCGCTTGAATCCGGGAGACAGAGATTGCAGTGAGCCAAGATCATGCCACTGCATTCTAGCCTGGGCGAAAGAGTGAGACTCCATCTCAAAAAAAAAAAAAAAAAAAGCCAGCCATGGTGGCTCACGCCTGTATGCCAGCTACTCAGGAAACTGAGGTGACCCCAGGAGTTTGAGGCTGCAGTGAGCCATGACTACACCACTGCACTCCAGCCCAGGCAACAGAATGAGACCCTGTCTCAAAAAAAAGTAAAGAAACAAAGTCAATCCCGAAAAAAAAAATAACCTTTAAAAAATTCTGTTATACAGCAGAGTCTGCATCAATAGCTATCAGAAAAAGCTTTCTGTCTACCTGCCCAGGTGTAATTTCTGTTACCCACCTTGTTTCAATGAGGTAAGCAGTATATGTTTCTTGCATGTTCATGGCATTTCTTCCAGTTCGTTTTTCTGCTTCTGAAACACTGATTTCTATCTTCTTCAACCAAAAATTATTGTGTGTCATCTGGACAAAAGTAAATAAAACAACAACAACAACAAAAACCTTTAAGATGGTACTGAAAAAAGCCTCAGCTATATAAATTAAACCCATTATTGGGTTTATATATTTCAAAATAGTTACTTATAGTTCTTGAGTTGCCAGGGGTTGCAAAATGGCAGCAGCAAATGATAGCCTGTCAACAAACAAAAGTACATTAACTTTTCCAGAGGTATTTTAGTTATGTATGTATTTATTTTTATTTTTTTTGAGACCAAGTCTCACTCTGCCACCCAGGCTGAAGTGCACTGGCGCGATCTCAGCTCACTGCAACCTTCACCTCCTGGGTTCAAGGGATTCTCCTGCCTCAGTCTTCCAAGTAGCTGGGATTACAGGCACGCACCAACATGCTCAACTGACTTTGGTATTTTCAGTAGAAACTGGGTTTCACCATGTTGGCCAGGCTGGTCTCAAACTCCTGACCTCAGGTGTTCCACCTGCCTTGGCCTCCCAAAGTGCTGGGATTATAGGCATGAGCCACTGCACCCAGCCTTCCAGAGGTAGTTTAAAAGGTAAGAAAATATCTTAAAAACACATTAGACACAAAGGATTCTGGGAGGATAGTGGAGTAGGAAGCACCAGGAATCCATCTCCCCACCTAGACGACAACTGCACTGGCAGACTCTGTCTGATGTAAGTATTTGGGAACTCTGGAGTCCAATAAAGGCTTGCAACTCCCAGGGGAAGGCTTGGATGACAAAATGTGGTTAATTTCAATCAATTTCAGCTACCTATCCCTTAGTGCCTAGCAGGCAGCTGTGCAGCATTCCTGGAACAGCCTGATGCAGCCAGGGTAGGCAAAAAGGGCCTTGTTCTCCAAACATCCAGGATCTGTCCTCTGATCACCAACTGCTTCTTCTAAGAGGCACAGACGAAGTGGTGGTCATTGCTGTTGCTCCTCCCCATGTTGTTGCAAGCCTCTTGTCCTGGCTGAAGTGACTTCCAGGGGACTTCAAAAGCCAGCATCCTGTTTTTCCTCCCTTCATTTTTCTTTTGACCCCCTTTTGTAAGCCAGATGTTAAAAACTTGGACCTTCAGCCAGGTGTGGTAGAGCGTGTCTTTAGTCCTAACTACTAAGGAGGCTGAGGCAGGTGGATCAGTTCATCCCAGGAGGTCAAAACTAGACTGGGAAACACAGGAAGACTTTGTCTCTTCAAAAGAAAAAATTGGACATTTAAAAACAACTGGATTTGTGAGGACAATTAGAAAATAATCACACATGCCCAGGAAAAGGCTCAAGCTCAGGAAAGATCTATAAAGACTTTAAGTTTACACCTCTCTCAGGCTGATCTTTGGCATGGAGACAGCCTACAGTAATTAAAAAATAAATAAATAAATAACAAAAACAGCAACCCCCAGGGTAGGAGAAGAATTCGATGTCCAGAGTTACCACATTATTACATGCAAATGCCTAGTTTTCAACAACAACAAAAAAAATCACAAGGCATATAAAGAAACAGGGTGGTATGATCCCTTCAGAGGGAAAAAATACATCAACAGAAACTGCTCCTAAAAAAGACATGATGACAGATCTACTAGAAAAAGACTTTATCCCTTTTTTCATTTCTTTTTTTTTTTTTTTAGACAGAGTCTAGCTCTGTCACCCAGGCAGGACTGCTGTGGTGCAATCTCAATTCAGCGCAACCTCAGGCTCCTGGATTCAAGCGATTCCTGTGCTTCAGCCTCCTGAGTAGCCAGGATTACAGGCTTGTGCCACCATACCAGGCTAATTTTTTTTTTTTTTTTTCTGAGACAGTCTTGCTCTATCGCCAGGTCGGAGTGCAGTGGCACGATCTCAGCTCACTGTAACCTCCACCTCTTGGGTTCAAGGGATTCTCCTGCCTTAGCCTCCAGAGTAGCTGAGACTACAGGCCATGTTGTCCAAGCTTGTCTTGAAGTCCTGGGCTCAAATGATCCACCTGCCTCAGCCTTCCAAGCTGCTGGCATTACAGGCATGAGCCACCATGCCTGGATGACAAAGACTTTAAAGTAATCATCTTATAGATGCTCAGAGAACTTAAAGAAAGATGTGGAGAAAGTAAAAAAAAAAAAAAAAAAAAAAAAAAAAAAAAAAAAAAGATGTATGAACAAAATAGAAGTATCCAGTACAGAGATAGAAAACTTAAAAAGAAGCCAAAAAGTGGCAGGGCATGATGGTTCATGCCTGTAATCCCAGCACTTTGGGAGGCTGAGGCGGGCAGGTCACCTGAGGTCAGGAGTTCAAGACCAGTCTAGCCAACATGTTGAAACTCCATCTTTACTAAAAATACAAAAACTAGCTGGGTGTGGTGGCGGGCGCTTGTAATCCCAATCTCAGCTACTCAGAGACTGAGGCATGGAGAATTACTTGAACCCAGGAGGCGGAGGTTGCAGTGAGCAAAGACCACGCCACTGCACTCCAGCCTGGGTGATAGAAAAAAAAAAAAAAAAAAAAGAAACCAAAAAGAAATTCTGGAGCTGAAAAGTACAATAACTGAAATTAAAAGTTCACTAGAGGGGTTCAAAGGCAAATTTGAGCAAGCACAAGAGAGAACTGGCAAACTAGAAGATAGGAGAATGGAAATGATCAAGTCCAAGGAACAGAAAAAAGATGGAAGGAAAGTAAACAGAGCTTAAGGGACATGCAGGACACCATCAAACGGACCAACATGTGCACTGTGGTAGTAAGGAGAGGGGAGAGAGAAAAAGGAGAAGGGACAGTATCTGAAGAAATAATGGTTGAAAATTTCACAAATATGATAGAAGAAATGTATATAAACATCCAAGAAGCTTGACAAATTCCAAATAAGATGTTTACTGAGACACTTTATAACTTTTCAAAGACAGAATCTTGACAGCAGCAAGACAGAAGCAACTGATCATATATAAGGAATCTTCAATAAGGTTATCAGCAAATTTCTCATCAGAAACTTTGGAGGCCAGAAGACAGGGAGCTGATATCTTCAAAGTGCTAAAAAATAAAAATAACTGTCAATCCAGAATCCTATATCTAGCAAACTGTCCTTCAAAAGTGTGGGAAAAATTAAGACATTTCCAGAGGCAGGAGAATCGCCTGAACCCAAGAGGCGGAGGTTGCAGTGAGCCAAGATCACGCCACTGAACTTCAGTCTGGGCAACAGTCACACTCTGTCTCAAAAAAAGAAAACAAAACAAAAAAATAATGAAAATGAAATTATAAAAATAAGTCCATTTACAATAGCATCAAAAAGAAAAAATACTTGGGAATTAAGGTGGTAAAAGACTTGTACAATGGAAAGTATAAAACACTGCTAGAAATTAAAAGAAGATAAATAAATGAAAACACATCCCATGTTCATGATTTGGAAGATTTAATATTATGAAGATATCAAAACTACCCAAAGCAATCTATATATTCGATGCAAACCCTACGAAAATCCCAATGACATTCTTTGACATTCTTTGCAGAAATAGGAAAACTCATCCTAAGAGTCATATGGAATCTCAAGGGACCCCAAATAGCCAAAGCAATCTTGAAAATGAAGCATAAGGCCAGGTGCGGTGGCTCACGCCTGTAATCCCAGCACTTTGGGAGGCTGGGGCGGGCGGATCACGAGGTCAGGAGATTGAGACCATCCTGGCTAACACGGTGAAACCCCGTCACTACTAAAAATACACAAAATTAGCCGGGCGTGGTGGCAGGCGCCTGTAGTCCCAACCACTCAGGAGGCTGAGGCAGAAGAATGGCGTGAACCCGGGAGGCGGAGCTTGCAGTGAGCCGAGATCGCACCACTGCACTCCAGCCTGGGCAACAGAGCGAGACTCTGTCTCAAAAAAAAAAAAAAAGAAAATGTAGCATAAAATTGGAGGACTCATACTTCCTGGTTTCAAAACTTACTACAAAGCTACAGTAATAACAACAACGTGGTACTGTCATAAAGACAGGTATATAGACCTATGAAATCAGATAGTCCAGAAATAAACCCTCGAATATATGGTCAAACAATTTTGTGACGAGACAGTTCGATGGGAAAAGGACAATTTTTCCAACAAATGATGCTGGGAAAACTGAATATCTACATACAAAAAAAATAAATTGGACCCTTACCTAACACCGACACAAAAACTAACTTTAAATGGTTCAAAGACCAAAGCACAAAACTCTTAGAAGAAAACACGGGAAAAGTTTCAAGACACTGGATTTAACCATGGTTTCTTGGATATGACACCAAAGGCACAGGCAGTAAAAGAAAAAATTGGCAAATTGGACTCCATGAAAATTAAAAATGTCGTGCATCAAAAGACAATATTAACAGGCCAGGCGTGGTGGCTCATGCCTGTAATCTCAGCACTTTGGGAGGCAGAGGCAGGAGGATTACTTGAGGTCAGGAGTTCAAGATCAGCCTGGCCCACATGGTGAAACCGCATCTCTACAAAAATACAAAAATTAGCCAGGCGTGGTGTCATATCTGTAATCCCAGCTACTCAGGAGGCTGAAGCAGGACAATCGCTTGAACCTGGGAGGTGGAGGTTGCGATGAGCCAAGATTGCACCACTGCACTCCAGCCTGGGCAACAAGAGCGAAACTCCGTCTCAAAAAAAAAAAAAAAAAAGAGAGAAAGGACAGTATTAGAGTAAAAAGGCAACCCAAAGAACAGAAGAAAGTATTTTCTCTCACGGATCCAGACTATTTAGAGAACTCCCAAAACTCAACAACAAAATACAACCCAATTGGGCTGGGCATGGTGGCTCACGCCTGTAATCCTAGCACTTTGGGAGGCCAAGGCGGGTGGATCACCTGAGGTCAGGAGTTCAAGGCCAGCCTAGCCAACATGGTGAAACCCTGTCTCTACTAAAAATACAAAAAATTAGCTGGGTGTGGTGGTGAGTTGCCTATATTCCAGCTACTTGGGAGGCTGAGGCAGGAGAATCACTTGAGCCTGGGAGGCAGAGGTTGCAGTGAGCTAAGATCATGCCACTGCACTCCAGCCTAGGTGACAGAGCGAGAATCTGTCTCAAAAAAAAAAAAAAAAAAAAAAAAAGACCCAATTCAAAAATGGAAAAATGAGCAAAGGACTTGAACAGACATTTATTTTTCTGAAGAAGCACATGAAAAGATAATCAACATCACTCATCATTAGGTAAATGCAAATCAAAACTACAATGAAATACTGCCTCACACCTATTAGAATGGCTACTATGAAAAACAAACAATAGAAAATCAGTGTTGGTGAGGATGTGGAGAAATTGGAACCCTCGTGCCCTATTGGCGGGAATGTAAAATGGTGCAGCTGCTGTAGAAAACAGTACAGTGGTGCCTCAAAAAATTAAAAATACAATTACCATATAATCCAGCAATTCCATTTCTGCCTAATATATCCAAAAGAATTAAAAGCAGGGTCTCAAAG
This sequence comes from Homo sapiens, assembly GCF_000001405.40. Taxonomy (NCBI): domain Eukaryota; kingdom Metazoa; phylum Chordata; class Mammalia; order Primates; family Hominidae; genus Homo; species Homo sapiens. The sequence goes on from NC_000003.12 coordinate 125,510,144, forward strand.
AGATATTTGCATATCCATGATGTCATGGTACCATCATTCACAATAGGTAAAACAAGGAAGCAATGCAAATGTCCATCAACAGATGAATGGATTTTTTTTTTTTTTTTGAGACGGAGTCTTGCAGTGTCGCCCAGGCTGGAGTGCAGTGGTGCGATCTCACTGCAAGCTCCGCCTTCCGGGTTCACGCCACCATTCTCCCGTCTCAGCCTCCCGAGAAGCTGGGACTACAGGCGCCCGCCACACGCCCGGCTATTTTTTTGTATTTTTAGTACAGACAGGGTTTCACAGTGTTAGCCAGCATGGTCTCGATCTCCTGACCTTGTGATCCACCCGCCTCAGCCTCCCAAAGTGCTGGGATTACAGGCGTGAGCCACCGCGCCCGGCTGAATGGATTTTTTGAACGTGATATATATACAAACAATGGAATACCATTCATCCTTAAAAAGGAAGGAAATTCTGTCATATGCTACAACATGGATATATATATCTTAAAGACATTATGATAAGTGAAATAAAACAGTCACATAAAGACAAATACTGTATGATTCCCTGTATATGAGGTACTCGGAATAGTCAAAATCATACAGACAGTAGAATGATGGCTGCCAGCAGCTGCGGCAGGGGGAAATAGGTAGCTGTGGTTTAACAGGTACAATTTCAGCTCTGCAAGATGAAAAGAGTTCTGGAGGCTGGTTGTACAATGTACGTGAATGTACTTATGACTGAACATTTTTAAACCATCAAGATGGTAAATTTTATATCATATATATTTTAACACAATTTGTTTGTTTTTTGAGACAGTTTCGCTCTTACCGCCTAGGCTGGAGTGCAATGGCACGATCTCGGCTGACCGCAACCTCAGCCTCCTGGGCTCAGGCGATTCTCCTCCCTTAGCCTCCCGAGTAGCTGGGATTACAAGCATGCATACCACCGGATAATTCTGTATTTTTAGTTGAGACGGAGTTTCTCCATGTTGGTCAGGCTGGTCTCGAACTCCCAACCTCAGGTGATCCACCCACCTTGGCCTCCCAAAGTGCTGGGATTATAGGCATGAGCCACCGTGCCCAGTTTAACACAATTTTTTAAACTGAAGAATAAACACATTATAAAAATATGAATGATCCTCAATATTGATATCTAATTTGGGGTTTAACCAAAATCGAATCTCTCTCTCAAAAGTCAAATATTATACATATGCCGAAAGGCAAGATTATCAGCAGTTAGCATAATTTTTTTTTTTTAACAATCAGGAGTCATCTTATATTAAACTTTAAATTCATCTAAACTTTTGGCAGTGGTTAATAGGCTCCACCCTTGAGGCAGCAGAGTTTTAAGAAGAGCAGACTCCTTTCTTTTCCCACTAGAATATCTCAGGTCTATACCAAAAGGTGAAAAAGAACAATAAATACACCACTGGCAGACCCTAGGCCATATGTTTCAGAAAGTGCATCACTGCAGAAAGGTTTCAAATACACCCAAACTAACTCCAAGTCTAAACAAGGAAGAGAAAGTGAGACCACAGGATAACTGCTATGCTATGGCTTTTTTTTTCTTCTTTGCTCACTGTCAAAATTGAGGTGGGTTTTAACTTAATTTAAAATATTGTACTGTATTATAATTGGAGTGTTTTATGAAGGAGAGATAAAAGTAGAAACTCAGTGCAGCAAAGGGTACAAGAAAAAGCTACACATATCAAATTAAACCTAGCCACTATAAGGTCTGAAAGAGGTCTGTGACAGTGCAAAAATATGAATCAGGAATGAAAACAGATGATACACTACACAGCTCTCCCAAAACGTACAGGAAAAATGAGGAAGAAGGTAAAAATGCTAAAAGAAGATAAAGAAAAAGAGCCAACCCAGTGGGTTGAAATCAGCCAACAAAAACAAAAATCTCAGTCCTCAAGGCATTTTTATAAAATATAAGTTTTTATATATTTATGTACTAAGAAAATAAGAGAGACAGCAGGAAATCATCAACCAAAAGAAAGCTCAAGAAATCACCTAAGCACAAGCCACCCAACATCAGGGTTGGTTATGAAGCCCTCATTGGTTGACACATACATATATACATGTATTAATAATACATTCTGGCCCACAGCCAAGCAGTTTGATTTACCATCTGCTCCAGTGACAAATTCGCTGAATTCTGAAAGCACATTCTGATAAAGCAAGTTATTAATATCTCCCCAGTCAAAAAGATAAGACATATGAATCATAAATTGACCCTGTCATACCATCCAGTTACAAAGAAGGAAAAAAGATAAAAGCATAAAATCAGCTATCATAAAAGCTAAAGAATACAAACAGGCACACAACAATAATACCAGTAGGGTTGGTAGATGATATAAAATTACTGAAACTGTCAGTAGTAAAGTACAGAACAGTGCCAAGAATAACACAACTGAACACCATAATTGTTAAAAGGACACATTCAACAGATTTAAAGATGGACTGGCTTGTTGAATGGCAGATGAGACCAGGGACCTTTTAAAGAGACACCTAATTTTTATTTTATTTTTAAATATTATGCGTAGAGAAGAGGTATCGCTATGTTGCCTAGGCTGGTCTCAAACTCCCGGGCTCAAGCAATCCTCTCACCTCAGTGCAGGGTCAACAGATACAACAACTTTTTTTTTTTTTTTTGAGACAGAGTGTCACCCAGGCTGGAGTGTAGTGACTCAATCCTGGCTCACTGCAAACTCTGCCTCCTGGGTTCAAGTGATTCTCATGTTTCAGCCACCCAAGTAGCTGGGATTACAGGTGTGTACCACCACATTCAACTAATTTTTGTATTTTTATTAACAGTAGAGATGGGGTTTCGCCATGATGGCCAGGCAGGGCAAGTAATTTAGCCTGTCTGTGCTTCAGTTTCCTCATGTGGAAAACAGAGATAATAGTACCTGCAATAAATGGAATGTTTGTGTCCTCCTAAAATGTGTATGTTAAAATCCTAACACTCAAGGTGATGGTATTAGGAGGTGGGGCCTTTGGAAAGATTAGGACATGAGGGTAGGGCCCTCATAAGTGGGGTTAGTGCCCTGATAAAAGAGACCCCAGAGAGTTCCTCTCCTCCTTCCACCATGTGAGGACACAGTGAAAAGACAGCCTACAATGAGCCAGGAAGCAGCCCTCACCAGTCACTGAATCTGCCAGTTCCTTAATCTTGGACTTCCCAGCCTCGAAGACTGTAAGCAATTCATTGCTATTGTTTATAAGCCACTCAGTCTTTGGTACCTTGTTATAGCAGCCCGAACAGACTAAGACAGTACCTAATTCACAAAGTCATCGGGAACATTTAATGGGTTAATGCATATCAAGAGTTTTTAAAGTTGTTTGGCATATGGCAAGAGCTCAAGTATTACTTTTCCGCCATTATTTTTAGATTTAAATTTTTTGATGATGAAAATTATACATGCTAAATGTACAAACACTGAAAAAAATTAAGTAAATATAAATCATCTGTATCCCACAACCCAGCACTAACCACTGTTACTATAATGGTATACTTCCTTATCACCTTTTTTCTAGGCGTGATGCTTCCGTGTTACTGAAACATTCAGAGAGTTAAGGATAAGAACCACCTATTGAAATCACTTCCCTTTGGGGCTCTGTCTACACAGATCAGAGGTAGCTGGTACTAGGTTAAAAATGTTGTGTTTACTAATAGTGATGCTTACTTCAAGCAGTAAATAACTTAGTTCAGGCTGCTATAACAAATGACCATAGACTGGGTGATTTGTAAACAACAGAAATTTATTGCTCACAGTCCCGGAGGCTGGGAAGTCAGAGATCAAGGAACTGGCAGATTCCGCTAGGGTCTGCTTCCTGGTTCACAGACAGCTGTGTTTCACTGTATCTTCATATGGCTGGAAAAAAGGAGACTTCTGGATTTTTTTTTTTTTTTAAAGGGCACTAATCCCACTCACGAAGCCTCCATCCTCATGATCTAATCACCTTCCAAAGGCCCTTCCACCAAACACCATCACAATGGGATTAGGTTTCAACATATGAATTTTGGGGAGACAGAAACATTCAATCCAAAGCAATAACTAAGAAAAATAGGGTTATAACATATGACCAGTTCTCTTGTGCTTTTTTCTATAAAAATACTTTTAAAATAACAGCAGAGCTATTCAGAAAACATTAATTTTTAAATACAACAATATGTTAAGTTTGAACAGTGTTCCAAACTGAGTAACACATTCATGGTCCATGAAATTAATTTGGTGGGTTGTGACCAACACTTTTTTTTTTTTTTTTTTTTGAGACCGAGTCTCGCTCTATTGCATAGGGTGGAGTGCAGTGGCATGATCACAGCTCACTGCAACCTCCACCTCCTAGGTTCAAGCGATTCTCCTGCCTTAGCCTCCCAAGTAGCTAGGATTACAGGCATGTGCCACCATGCCTGGCTAATTTTCATATTTCTAGTACAGCTGGGCTTTCACAATGTTGCCCAGGCTGGTCTCAAACTCCCGACCTCAGGTGATCCGCCTGCCTCAGCCTCCCAAAGTGCTGGGATTACAGGTGTGAGCCACTGTACCTGGCCTCCAAAACTTTTTTTGACACAAGGTCTTGCTCTGTCACCCAGACTGGAGTACAGTGACATGATCATGGCTCACTGCAGCCTCAACCTCCCTGGTTCTTGCTCCCACCTCAGCCTCCTGAGCAGCTGGGACCAAAGGCACAGGTCACCACACTAGGCTAATGTTTTTATTTTTTGTAGACTGGGTCTCCCTACATTCCCAATACTGGTCTCAAGGCATGGGCCTCAGCCTCCTAAAGTCCTGAGATTATAAGTGTGAGCCACTGCATCCAGCCCAATGCTTCTTTTTAATTTAAAAATATAGAAAAATATCAGAAAGTGTTGCATGCAGTAATGGCTAAGTATTGTTTCCTGAAACAACAATCACATATTAAAGTATGTGTACGCTGATTATGATGTAAAAGTGTATTTTGCTTTGAGAGGCCAAGGCAGGAGGACTGCTTGAGGCCAAGAGTTCGAGACCAGGCTGGCCAAAATGGCAAAACCCCATCTCTACTAAAAAAAAATACAAAAATTAGCCAGGCGTGGTGGCGTGTGCCTATAGTCCCAGCTACTCAGGAGGCTTGGGCAGGAGAATCGCTTGAACCCGGGAGATGAAGGCTGAAGTGAGCCGAGATTATGCCACAGCACTCCAATCTGGGCGACAGAGGGAGACTCTGTCTCAAAAAATATATATATATATATATTTTTGGGTCGGGCATGGTGACTCACGCCTGTAATCCCAGCAATTTGGGGGGCTGAGGTGGGAGGATCACTGGAGCCCAGATGTTTGAGACCAGCCTGGGCAACATAGGGAGATCTTGTCTCTACAAAAAAAATAGAAGAAATTAGTCAGGTATTGTGGTGTATGCCTGTAGTTCCAGCTACTCCAGAGGCTGAGGTGGGAGGACTGCTTGAGACCAGTAGGTCAAGGCTGCAGTGAGCCATGATCATGCCATTGCACTCCAGCCTGGGCAACAGTGCAAGACTTGGCCTCAAAAAAAAAAAAAAAAAAAGAAAATGTATTTTGTACTGTGAATCACCTTCAAAAAAATCTGAGAGCCACTGAGGTAGAAAATGGTTTTTAAAAGTTCTTGGGGCTGGGTGCTGTGGCTCACTCTTGTAATCCTGGTGCTTTGGGAGGTGAAATGGGAGGATCACTTGAGCCCAGGAGTTTGAGACCAACCTGGACAACAAAGTGAGACCTCTTCTCAATCAATAAAAAATTAGTGAGTATGATTTTATCATCTGCTGCTAAAGTGATGAATTCTGTAATTATGCCTATAATCTTTATCTTCCTTTTTAATGTTATCCTTACCAACAGAATGCCTCAAACCTTACCGACAATCTGGTCTACTCCATTTAGTTCTCTGCTGCCAATCAGTGAAGGTAGTCAATGTGCACGGGAATTTTTAACCACCAGCTGCTCAATCACTCTGCTCCATCAGCATTCCCAGGTCTAGAGCACTCTCCCTAAAAATCACTTATGAATTCCTCAGGTAATGGGTTTTCTCTGGCAAATACTGTAAATGGTTTTTCTCTGGCAAATACCTGTCTGTTAACTGCCAACTCAATGGAATCTAAAAAACTACTCTGTCCTCCACTCCCTTGCTATTTCCTCTCCTTCTGCTCGGGCTAATTACTACTTTCTTAGAGAATGAATTCCCTTCTCATATTTTCCATTTTCCAAATTATTTTAAATAGAACTGACTATAGCTTTAAAAAACTACAGAAAAAGAGCTTACATAGAGTTTAAAGAATCCTGATCAGTGGTGTTAAAACCAGAAGAGTCTTGTGACTCTTTGGCGGTGCAGTTTCCACAACCTCTTGGGGTAGGATAATTGGTATAAATTACTCTCCCTCTTAAAATCTGCAGTCAAAAATAAGGCTGGGCCGGGCACAGCGGCTCACGCCTGTAATCCCAGCACTTTGGGAGGCTGAGGTGGGTGGATCACTTGAGGTCAGGAGTCCGAGACCAGCCTGGCCAACATGGTGAAACCCCCTCTTTACTAAAAATACAAAAATTAGTCAGGTGTAGAGGCACATGCCTTTAACCACAGCTACTCGGGAGGCTGAGGCACAAGAATCACTTGAACGCAGGAGGCAGAGTTTGCAGTGAGCCAGGATCCTGCTACTGCACTCCAGCTGGGGCCAAAGAGCAAGATTCTGTCTCAAAAAAGAAAAAAAATGGTGGTTAAGCAAGCTGTTTTTTCATCTCTGAACACTATTTGCCTAGACATCTTTGTAGTAAAAAAATGGATAAATCAACACATCTTTCAAACCTTTTTTTCCTTTCCAAAATTACAACTTAGGCTGGTCTGAAGATAGTAAGTTATCTCAATTTCACAAATCAGTTACAGATCAAACTCTTTGTTCTACTGTTTCCCCCCTTCTCACTACTGCACTTGACTAGTCTAAAAAAATTACAACTTAGTGTTAACTACACTAAAAACTTTAAAATTCAGTATTGAAACAATGTACAAGACTATTTTAAACTTTTTTTTTAATGAAGCAAAATGGCTTAATGGAAGAAGCACTGATTTCAATGCCAGGTGAACCTAGATTCAAATCCCAGCCATGCTACTGACTAGCTTGTGACCATGGTCAAATTACTTCTCTATGAGCCTCTGGCTGGTTCCATTTACCCATCTATTGGAAGTAATTTTGGGAATTAAATGAAAAGTAGAGCCCCACTGTGCACAGCACACGCAAAACTAACTTACTTTTCTGGTGAGACCAAATTCCTATCAGTAACAGCTACAATGAGGCCATAAAAACATTACAGTAATTTTCAACTGAAGACAGACTGAGTGAGAGAGAGTATGGAGAGAAGTGAAGGGATGTGAAGACCTTCAAAGGACGGGTTTTTAGTTTGATTTTCTCTTTGAGGGGAGAGGAGGGGAAGGGGAAGGAATGCACTGAATGTATGTTTGTTTAAACACCTAGTAATTCTGAAATATTTGCCCAAATGGCTTGTGCCTCTTTATGAATTACTAAATTAGGGAGTTGTTTTAAGAAACCACATAGGCCGAGGGCAGTGGCTCATGTCTGTAATCCCAGCACTTTAGGAGGCTGAGGCAGGCGGATCGCCTGAGGTCAGGAGTTCGAGACCAGCCTGGCGAACATGATGAAACCCCAACTCTACTAAAAACACAAAAATTAGCTGGGCATGGTGGCACACACCTGTAATCCCAGCTACTCAGGAGGCTGAGGCATGAGAATCGCTTGAGCCTGGGAGGCAGAGGTCTGCAGTGACCCGAGATCACGCCACTGCACTCCAGCCTGGGTGACAGGTCAAGAGACTGCTCAAAAAAAAAGAATAAAAATGTCAGGAAGTAGTATGTAACTACAACTTATACTGCATGATAGCATCCCTGGGTTTTCAAATATTTAGAACTACATATACATAGTGTTCTTTCAATTAATAAAAGACATATATAATGCCTTTTAAATTAACATAAACAGATTTTATATTCTAGTTGCAATTTCATATTAATTAAATACCTAATGGCAGGGTGTGGTGGTGTGTACCTGTAACCCCAGCTACTCAGAAGGCTGAGGCAGGAGGACAGCTTGAACCCAAAAGTTCAAGGCAAGTCTGGGCAACACAGAGATACCTCATCTTTACAAAAAAAACCCCAAAACTTAGCCAGGTGTGGTGGCATGCATCTGTAGTCCCAGCTACTCAGGAGGCTGAGGCAGGAGGCTCGCTTGAGGCCAGGAGGTCAAGGTTGCAGTGAGCCATGATTGTGCCACTGCACTCCAGCCTGGGAGACAGAGTGAGAACCTGTCTCAAAGAAAAAAAAAGCACATCCAAAAAAGTCTTCATGCTACCTTATATACCCAGGTATGTTCCACAGCAGGCAAAACTTTCAAATCCTGAAGTCCCTGCTTAGCTGGTCTCTAAACTTAAAAGTCTTTCAGGCCGGGCACCATGGCTCACACCTATAATCCCAGCACTATTGTGAGGCCCAGGTGGGCATGAGCCCAGGAGTTGCAGACCAGCCTGGGTAACATGGTGAAAACCCATCTCTACAAAAAATACAAAAATTTGGCTGGGCATGATGGCTCACGCCTGTAATCCCAGCACCTTGGGAGGCCGAGGAGGGTGGATCACTAGAAGTCAGAAGTTCGAGACCAGCCTGACCAACATGGCAAAACTCCATCCTTACTAAAAACTAAAAAAAAAAAAAAATTTAGCTGGGAGTGGTGGCGCCCATCTGTAACCCCAGCTACTCAGGTAGCTGAGGGATGAGAATCGCCTGAACCTGGGAGGCAGAGGTTGCAGTGAGCCGAGATCGTGCCACTGCATTCCAGCCTGGGTGACAAAGACTATGTCTCAAAATAAATAAATAAATAAATTAATTAATTAATTTAGCCGTGCGTGGTGGTGTGTGCCTGTAGTCCTAGCTACTCAGGAGGCTGAGGCAGGAGGATTGTTTGAGCCTGGGGGGTCGAGGGTGAAGTGAGCTGTGTGAGCAATGCACACAAAAGGAGACTTTGGGCAGGGTGGTCTGATGTGGAGCACTGCAGTTAGTTTCTTAAAGGTTTCAATATAAGCAGGTCTACAAATCTTGAATTGTATATGCAAACACTTTGTAATGAAAGCACTTACAAATATAAGATGATACATTTTTCCCCTTTTCCTCAAGCAAATGAAAATCACTAATTACTAAAGGGTCTTCAAAAAGTACATGGGTTATCAATAAGTCTCCAATGGGAAACACAGCACTTCCCCCAAAACAAAGAAATTACAGCCAAATGAGGAGTCTAAAAAATGTTTTCTCATTTGTACCTTTTCTTGAAGCTGACATTTTCTTCAATTTCCTGATGGCAGCACCAGGCCAACCACCCTTATTGGCCCTGACCTGCACCTCACTCTAGTCCCCCATTCCCTTCCTTCTCAAGCACTGTTGCCCACTCCCCACTGTGTCCCTTTAAGCTACTCCCCAGCAAAACCCCTTAGCAACTGGCTGAAACATCAGCGTTCTTCTCACGGTCCAGATCTCCCAGCTACGCGACCACTGAAAACCCCCTCCTCCAGCCTCGCCCATCCGGGGCCCAGACCCCCACGCCTGCGGGGGCGCCCCCCCGGGTCCCTTTCCCTCCCCTTCGCAGTCTCGACACTTCCCTCAGTCACCCGCAGCGCCTGGCGCTCGCCCCACACCCAGCACCCTGTTTTTCCACTGAGCCTCCTCTCACTGCACCTGCGGACCCCGCCTTTCCACCTCGCTCCCCCTCACTGCTGGGCCTCCTCGGCCGAGCCCACTGGCCCGGCCCGGCCCAGCCCAGCCCAGCCCAGCCCAGCCCGGCCCGCTAGGCCACCACACAGGCCATGAGGGCTCTGCCGCCCCTTCTCCTCACCGTGTCGACCCCAGAGCTCTCTTCTCCGGCCCCCTCCGCTTCCTTGCCGACCGCAGCCCCCAGCCCAGCGTCTGGGGAGCCCAGCGGCTCCAAGGGCGCCGGCTGGAGCTGCCGCTCGGGGTCCGGAGGTGCCTGCTCCATGGCTGCAGTTCGGCGCGGCGAACCCAGTGCGCCTGCGCCGCCGCCGCGCCCGCGGCCAACCAGTCTCTCAGCTAGCGACGCCCGCCCCTCCGCTAGCCATCGCCTCGCCCCTCTTGTCAACCTAGAGGGCTCCCGGAGCTGCAGCTGGAGGCGGAACCGGGGGTGGGAGGACACGCAAGCCCGCGGAGGACCTGGTCAGCTGCTTAAGCCAGGAGACCCAGGAAGCAGGGGCAGCTGGTGAAGAGAGAGACAAAGAGAAAGGCAAGGGGAAAGTGAACACTTGAAGTAGGCACGGCGATCCTAAAGCCAACGAAACTCAAAAGAAATTGGAGGCGTAGTCTGACCTGCTCCTTCTGGGCCTCTGCCTTGCCAGTTATTATTGGGTCTGTTTTCTCCCGGAAAGATCAGAGCTCTATAAATTGTTAACTTTCAGCAGGTTGAGTAACACATTCAGCAAAAGGTAATACTTGCAAGTTTTTTTTTTTTCTTTTTGAGACGGAGTTTCCCTCTTGTTGCCCAGGCTGGCGTGCAGTGGCGCGATCTCAGGTCACCGCAACCTCCGTCTCCCAGGTTCAAGCGATCCTCCTGTCTCAGCCTCCGGAGTAGCTGGGATTACAGGCGCCCGCCACCACGCCCGGCTAATTTTTATTTATTTATTTATTTATTTATTTTGTATTTTTAGTAGAGACGGGGTTTCACCATTTTGGCCAGCCTGGTCTGCAACTCCTGACCTTGTGATCCGCTCACCTCGGCCTACCAAAGTGCTGGGATTACAGGCGTGAGCCACTGCGCCTGGCCTTTGCAAGGTTTTGAGGAAAGTGAAGCGTTCTGTTGAAGCAGGGCTTGAGTTCTGTTGTAAGTGTTTCATGAAGCCCTGGAGACCTCTGATAATTTTCTACAAACATCCCTTTTTAAAATTTTCCAAACCTGCTTCCTTGACAAGCTTTCACTATGGCAACCGGATGGGAAATGCTCACTGGTGGTAACAGATTGTGGTACCTTGAAGTACTTTCTATACAAAGTCGGGTCTCAATTTTTCAAGTACAGAAACATTTTTCTGCCCACTTAGTTATTTCAAGCTGTAACACACAATTTTCTCTTCCTGGAATGCTTTATCTGTCCTGGGAGCAAATTTTCATTCATTCCTAAAACCTCAGCTCATTTATAATCTTCAAGTGCTAAGTTGTTCATAAATCTGTTATGGGCTGGGCACGGTGGCTCACGCCTGTAATCCCAACACTGGGAGGCCAAGGCCGGCGGATCGCCTGAGGTCAGGAGTTTGAGACCAGCCTGGCCAACATGGTGAAACCCCGTCTTTACTAAAAAAATTTGCTGGACGTGGTGGCGGGCGCCTGTAACCCCAGCTACTCAGGAGGCTGAGACAGGAGAATCACTTGAACCCGGGAGGCGGAGGTTGATCTCAGTGAGCCGAGCTCGTGGCACCGCACTGCAGCCTGGGCAACAGAGCAAAACTCCGTCTCATAAAAAAATAGATTTTAAAATCAGGGCAGAATGGATCTGATGGTTATTTCCCCCTATTTTATATACACATAATACATGTTAATTGTGGGAAAATTAGAAAAGTTGAGCATTAAAAAATTAAAAGCCACAAGTTAAGCGTGAGAAAAAAAGAAAAATAATAAAATAAAAAATGGTTCTTGGCCGGGAGTCTCAGGCCTGTAATCCCAGCACTTTGGGAGAGGCCCAGGTGGGCAGATCACTGGAGGCCAAGAGTTCGAGACCAGCCTGGACAATACGGTGAACCCCGTCTCTACTAAAATACAAAAAATTAGCCGAGCATGGTGTTGTGTGCCTGTGGTCCCAGCTGCTTGGGAGGCTGAGGCAGGAAGAATCGCCTGAACCTGGGAGGTGGGAGGTTGCAGTGAATTGAGCAACAGAGTGAGACTCTTGTCTCAAAAAAAAGAGAAAAACAAGGCCGGGCACGGTGGCGCAAGCCTGTAATCCCAGCACTTTGGGAGGCCGAGGTGGGCAGATCATTTGAGGTCAGGAGTTTGAGACCAGCCTGGCCAACATGGTGAAACCCCGTCTCTACTAAAAATACAAAAATCAGCCGGGCATAGTGGCATGCACCTGTAATCCTAGCTACTGCAGAGGCTAGGGCAGGAGAATCGCTTGAACCCAGGAGGCCGAGGTTGCAGTAAGCCGAGATCATGCCACTGCACTCCAGCCTGGGTGACAGAGCAAGACTCCGTCTCAAAAATAAATAAATAAATAAATAAGGGTTCTTTTGGCCGGGCTCGGTGGCTCATGCCTGTGATCGCAGCACTTTTGAAGGCCAAGATAGGCAGATTGCTCGAAATCAAGAGTTCCTAGCAGACCACAGACTGGTACCAGCCCACAGCATGGGGGTTGGGGACCCCTGCACTAGATAATATGCCTTATTCTTGGGGCTGTCTATAGGCTAACAAATTATTTTTGATAAAGAGATAGCAACTAGTGGTTATGTAAAAAGCCTGAGGTGGGAGGGTAGCTGGCATTTTGAATTTTTTTAATGGGTCCATGTTTGGGACACCCTGCCCAATGGCCAGAATCATGATAGCTGCAGTTTTTTTATGTGCTTGGCACTTCACATATTAATACTTTTTCATGCAGTGCCCCTCCCTGCAAGACAGGCATTATACAAGCTGGGCATGGTGACATGTGCCTGTATCCCAACTACTCAGTAGGCTGAGGTGGGAAGATCGCTTGAGTCCAGGAGTTTGAGGTTGCAGTGATCCATGATAGGACCACTGCACTCCAGCCTAGGGAACAGAATGAGACTGACTCTTAAAAAAAAAAAAAAATCCCAGCACTTTGGGAAGCCGAAGTGATTGCTTGAGCCCAGGAGTTCGAGACCAGGCTGGGCAACATAGTCAGACCCTGTCTCTACAAGAGATACGAAAAGTAGCCAGATGGGGTGGCATGCCCCTGTAGTCCCAGCTACTTGGGAGGCTAAAGTGGGAGGATCCCTTGAGCCCAGGAGGTCAAAGCTGCAGTGAGCAGAGACTGTGCCATTGCACTCCAGCTGGGTGACAGAGAGAGACTCTGTCTCAAAACAAACAACAAACAAACAAACAAAAAAGACATTATTTTCCCCATTTCACCAATGAAGCAGGCTCAGTAATATTTGACAAAGTCACACAGCCATTAAATAAGGGAAAGATATTCAAACCCAGATTTGTAGGACACCCAGAACCCAAGCTCTTGGGCCATGCTGCTTCTCTTCATGGGGGAGAGGAAGAAGAGAGATTCTTCTAGAGAAGATGCAAATAATTTGCGGAAATTGAGAATTGATTCCTTATGTGAACACACACAAAGAAAAACAGGTTTCCTTGGCATATGAAGGCAAAGTCACACCTGTGTGCTGAGGTCTGGGAAAGCCCAAGGCTAACTCCATGGAGATTATGGAAATAGATATTCCCCCTTCTTCTGACTCTGGAAGGGAAGGAATTCCCCCTCACAGCCCTCACTGGGGGAGAGCCTGCGGTGACCTGCTCTGGAGTGAATGGGAAAGCCTCAGGAGCAGGAGTGACTAGCCAGGCAGAAGGTACTTCAGTCCCTTGCATGTCAACAGCATGTTTTA